>NC_000011.10:36423636-36575151 GCF_000001405.40 Homo sapiens
AACAGAAAGTAGTAAAAGGAATTCCACATACACTCTGCTTTGAAGGTAAAATTGGGGCCTATCTACACAGGGGGGCTTTGAACAAGTGGAGCGGGGATCTGGTGAGAAGACAGAGGAGAAGTTATGTTTTTAGGTGAGAGGTCATCAGAGGTTGCATTTTTTGATTTGGCCAGTACTTAGAGAAGAACAGCACTGTGGAATCTATAAGCTTTGGGGTGGCCTAGAAGCTCCCACTGGCCACTGTGAGGGGCGAGAATGAGGGGGAGCCAGACTGGGGGCTTCGAGAAGCACCCCTGGGTGTCTTGGGCTACTCGCTGTGGGGCTCGCTGCCTGTCAGAGGTCACCTCTCAGCAGCTTTGCCATTCTTAATCTCCTTAGCAATTATTTGAATTTTGTACAATTAGTTGAATACTTTGATTGTACTTTTATCATACTTTATGAGTCTCCGTGGAAAAAAATGGATCTTGACATTGATGACCACAGGTCTTAATATAATTGAGATAAAGATGAAAATCAATAGGCTTGCAGAAGTGGCAAATCTTTATCCTCATTGGACTCAGGTTATTGCACATCAGTTGTGGAAGAAAGGAACACATGGGTACCAAAGGCTGAAAATATATCACCCGAAAATGAGCTCTGAAGATGAGGTGTAATTAGGGATTTTATAATCCTTTCAAGCTCTATGAGGACAGAATTCCTCCTAAATCATGGAAGTGTGGTATTCTACACAAGTATGTATTTGCAAGAACTCATTATATATGGAATTTGGTGATTTACTGTAGAAGAGAAAGGAATGGCAGGAGCCAGGCTTAGGGCATTGATGGGGGAGGCATAAAAGGTAGGAGCAGATGCTGGAAACAACGTGGTATTAAAATAGTGGAAACACTCAGTGATTCAGTGGGCATGAGAAGTAGAAACTGAGTTGGAAGCGTCGGGAAATTTTTGTTCAATATGGAAAGCAATAAGGTGACTTTCTCTGAGGCTCTTGAAGAGCTATAAGGAGAACAGAATTAATGATAATGGTAGTGACGGCTAACATTTTCAAGCACGTACATGCTGGGCATTGTTGTAAGCTGAAGGTTCTCAAAGTATGGTCCCCGAACCAGGAGCTTCAGTATCAGCTGGGAATCTGTTAGAGAAGCAAAGTTTAATGGATTCAGAAACTCTGGGGTTAGGGCCCAAGTGATCTGTTTTTTTTTTTTTAGACAAAGTCTTGCTCTTGTCACCCAGGCTGGAGTGCAATGGCACGATCTTGGCTCAATGCAACCTCCGCCTCCCGGATTCAAGTGATTCTCCTGGCTCAGCTTCCTGAGTAGTTGGGATTACAGGCGCACCCCACCATGCCTAGCTAATTTTTGTAATTTTAGTAGAGACAGAGTTTCACCATATTGGTCAGGCTGGTCTCGAACTCCTGACCTCAGGTGATCCACCCGCCTCGGCCTCCCAAAGTGCTGGGATTACAGGTGTGAGCCACCGCCCCCAGCCACAATCTGCGTTTTGATGAGTCCTGCATGATTGTGAGGCACGCTCAAGTCTGGCAATGCTTTCAGCATTTCCCCTGGGCTAACTCATTTATTCCTCCTGATAACTGATGAGGACGGTTCTGTTATTACATATCCCTCTTTTACAGATGCTGCCACTGAGGCTCAGAGATGGGGGTTATTTGTCTAAGATACAAATACATACAGCTAGTAAATGGTGGCATGAAGACCCAGCCCAGGTCATCTGGCCACAGAAGAAAAATCTCTTGGATTATATTTAAAATGCCCTCAAGGAATCTCCAGGAAAAAACCCAAAAACCCAGGCAGGAGGAGTTCCAGGGTTACTTTATTTGTTGTTGTTTTCGTTTTGCATGTTCAGCAAGTCAGACATGGACTGTCTTCCTTCTTCCTTATAAACATAACCTTTTTAAGGCCCCAATGCACGCTTTAACTATGGCTGAAACAGTGCTAAATGAAGAATTAGCATTAGCACCGAATTTCCACTTCTTCAATCTCCATCTGGGGACTTCTCGCGGGTCTCATCACACCCACACACACCAACATTGGCTTATTAGGAACTCTCTGGGCCTGGGAGTAAGTTGTGTTTGTAAGACTTTGTTGTTTATCTAGGAAGGCATCCAGGTTCACAGGAGATGTGCACATCATTAGAGGTGATGGCTGGCCTTTCAAAGTCATAGAGGAAAAAAAAAAACTGGAAGTGGCCTATAATTTGCAGCCCTGGGTTTATGCCAACAACAGGAACCTTCTAAGACATTGATATCACCAGAAGCAAATGTCTGGAGTGAAACTGGTTAACACAGGTTCTGGGAAGGCAGAGCAACACAGCTGCCACCCCTCTGGGGTAGGAAAGAATATCTCACTTGGAAATGGAATCCACTCGAGTGCCAGGCACTCCCCTTGCTAGATGTTGAATGTGGATAGTCGAGAGGAAGGCCCAGCTGGGTGGAGGCCCTGTGGCAGAACCCAGTTACATGGCCTGAGATTGCCAAGCCAACTGCCCCAGTATCTGAATCTGTAATGGATCCCATCTGCTTTCTCCTCTGGGCAAGGACATAGGACACCTCTCTAAGGCAGGAGAGCATGATGTCTAAAAGCACCAGCCCTTCTGCCAGTAGGTCTGGGTTCTAATCTTTGTTAGAACACTTACTAATCTAATCTTCTAATCTTTGTTAGAACACTTCTAATCTTTGTTAGAACACTTACTTTGTTAGAACACTTACCTCAGCCTCGTTACTTAGTCTCTCTGATGCTCAGTTTTCTTAATAGTAATCCAGGTGGAATCATGGGAACTACTTCATATGGTTGATGTGGTTACTAAGTGAGATGACGTACACAAAGTGCCTGATTACATAGTGAGCAGTCAACAAGGTATAAGTATTTGTATCAGTATTTTTATTACTATTGCTAAGTAAACCAGAAGAATATAATAGGGGAAAGATATGGGCTTTGGATTCAGACCAACCTTGGTGCAAAGTCTGGTCTCACACTTGCTAGTTGCTTCTTTGAGCCTCAAGTTCTTTATTTGCAAAAAGTGGATAGGTTGTGGCGAAAGTAAAATGTGAGAAGGCAGGAAAAGACTGTAAGACAGTGTCTGACACTGAGTAAAAACCAATAACTGACTCCACTGACATTCTTACTGCATTGTCATCACCACTAAAACATTAAAAGGGACGGTAGCTAGCAGCCTTAGTGTTTACAGAATTCCTGCTTCCTGGTCTGTGTGGAAAGTTCTTCCTGCTGGGAAGATGGGGTTCTCCCTGTACCTAGCCTTCTTGGTTATCCGTCTCATCTGGGTCCATCCCACCGGGTTGTGAAGGTGCCTGCTTGGCAGGAGGCATGCATCATTGGTAGCCCCACACCACCCATGGCCACCCTCTGCTCTGTTCTGCCCACCTTTCCAACCCACCCTCTGTGATGACCCGGGAGGAGCTGGGTCTTTCCTGTCCACTGAAGACTGGGTGGTTTTAGACGCCTTTCCCCAAACATCTTGTTTACATTTTTCCTAGCTAAGCCTCATTTTTCTGTTTGCAGCCCGTTTTTCTATGTCTTAGGAAAATTAGATACGTCAGCTGTTTTTCTTTTTCACTTCCATCTCCTTTGCCACTTCATTATAGTGCGACTTGACTGTGTCCAAGTTCATTTATGGGGTGGGGAGAGGATGCATTAAGTAACAATGGGCCCAGTTCCAAGTCCCAAGTTGCTTCCTGGGTGGTTACTATTTAGTAACCATTTTTGGCTTAGTCTTCTGCCTGGGGAGGTGGTGGGGTTGGTGCCATCAGGCAAGGAGTGGGACAAGAGAAACTTGGGTCATCTCCAGCTCTGTTACCATACAGCTCCATCACTACAGCTCAGCAGCCAGCAAACACTCAGAAACTTCTGGAGTCAGGCATTGGTCAGGGGATGGGAATACTGTGAGGTGAGGTCCAGGAAGACTGGACACTTAGGAAGAACAAACAATGCAAGATGGCTGCCTGAAACCCAAGGCTGGGTTTCGCCCCGCCTTCAACCCATTTGAGCAGGCTTAAGCCCCACAGATGTCAAGTTGGCCTATCTTTAGGTGAAGTGACAGGGTGAGCTTCATAATTTGCAGAGCCCAGTGCAGAAGGAACATGTGGGTACTCAGCATTCTGTGCAAGAATCCTGAATGCCATTCTTCTCACCACCTCTAATGTCAACACTGGTGTCCCTGGCTTCTTCTAAAACAACTCTACTCACCAGACTGGTGTGGGGATGCCAATCTCCCCTTCCCACTGGCCTGCCACTGCAGCTCATAGTGGGCAGGTAACCCCAAGAGATTGCACATCTGCACTGGGCACTCTTGGTACCTAGATGGAGAGTGGGCGAGAGGTCCCCATTGAGTCAGCAGCAATTGCACTGCAGCACTGCCAGTCCAGGGAGTGCAGGATGGCTGGCACTATGCCTCTCCCCACAACATTGCAGGGTGCATGCCAAGTCCTGACTCTCCCTGTACCGGTGCGGAGGCCTCCACCAACATGACTCTGTCAGCACCTTGGGAGTAGGGTGACATTGGTGGTGGAGCCCAGGCACCAGGGGTGAGGTGTAGGTGCCTGAAAATCCCTCCTGGGGAGGTGGTGAGGAGGCAGGGCCATGGGTGAGCTGGGGCTTTAGACCCCAGTGCATGTTCTGTTATCCCTTCAGACTTCACTTATAAAACATAAATTCAAAGATAAAAATACTAAGAATCAACTGCAGAGCACCCAACTGCAAGTGGAGGCCTTCAGAGTACAAGGGCCTTAAGAATGCAAGACCCTTTGGGGCTCCAATTCTCTAGAGAGGAGATTTGGGGTTCAGTTTGAGACCCATTAGCAAAGCTGGAAGATGCAGCTGTGGCTCGGTTGTTGGAGCATGAATGGATGGGCACAGCTCCATTGGGTGGATGGCAGTGGTTCCCCAGTGAAGAGAGTCCTGGGGCTTGGCTAACTCAAAAGATCCTTACTCTGATAGTGTGTGCTGAATAAAACATGAGTAGTAGAGAGACTGAGCCTCACTCTCATGTCTTTTATTGGAATTTTGGAGAGGGAGACCCTACTTCTAGCCTCGGTTTATACAGCTATAAGATAAGAGCAAAATCTACAGACTCCTGGGGGCAGGGGGTTATATAAGGATTTTCAAGATGCCTTTGAAAGGTACTTTAGCCTCCTGGAAAATGGAAATGGATCTACTAAATATCATCAAAATGTGTGTGACCAATTGATTTTGACTGTAGGACTGGGGAGAGGAGAGAATGTATAGATGATTCTTAAGACCCCTTCTAACCTCAAGTTTGTGTTTCTCTTATTTTGGTCTAAGCTATAGAATTTCCATGCTGTGTATTGTGACAAATTTTAAAAGAGTATTTTCTTTATCATTTCTCCATAATATAGGAATAATTACTTTTCCTTGAAAATATATAAAAAAGATTTTTTTTCCTAAGGTCTCCTTGAAGGGAGAAGACCTAGAAAGGAGAAGAAAGGAAAATCCAGGCCATGATTTGAGGTTTATTCCATAAGATATGGACAATGTAATTTTCAAATGATTTTCTAATTCAAATGAAGAAAATGGCAACAAACTTAGGGACCCTATAGCACTTATTCTTCTTTAAAATATTCTGTCTTTTATCTTGGCTTCTTAAAAATAAAAAATCTTTATCACTAAAATAGCCAGTATATATATTCAGTAAATATTTATTAGGCACCTACTATGTTCTAGGTACTATACCAGGAGCCAAGGGTACTAACTAAAATGAGATATGGTCCTCACTCCTAAGGACCTAAAATTCTAACAAATGAATGGTTTGAATTAATTTCTGTTAACTCATGCTATCACCTGGACTAGGTTTTCATTTCTGTCCATGCCTCAGTTCCCCCTATCCTCCCCCCATGTAGATAATTATAGTGATAGAACAAAATGATGAAAATTGAATCACAGAGGCGATCTCTATTACCTCTATAGGTGCATCTCAGAAATGTGAAATTAGGGAGGGTTAGGAAAGTTGTTTTAATAGAAGCCTGGAACATCAGTGTTGACACTAGATGTGCTGAGAAGAATGACATTTAGGAGCCCATGCACAGAATGCTAAGGGGACGTTCTGAGAACCTCACCTGGACTAGGTGAAAGGGACCAACCAGGTGGAGACTGCAGGGCACAAATGAGATTTGTGCTAAGAAGCATTCAGGTGGAGTGGTTGCCATCTGAACACACCTCCACAGACCACTCATGTCCAGCTCAGCTGTCACAAGATGTCGATTTGGTGCTGATGTATTTTCTTGCTTTCTGACCCAGAAAGTCTTGCCATGACCCAGCTGGGATTCATGAACTTGGCTGGAAGCTAAAGAACAGGTTAGGGCTTTGTCTTTATTGCCTGTGTGTTTCACAATTCTTTGTGAAGGAATTGCTTTTTTTTTTCCTTTAACAAAGTTGGTGTATTCCTATATGGTGTCACTGTAACTTTGATTTGGTGTTCTATCTGCCATCTTGAAACTACATGGTGGCTGGGTGTGGTGTCTCACACCTGTAATCCCAACACTTTGGGAGGCCGAGGTGGGCAGATCACTTAAGGTCAAAAGTTCGAGACCAGCCTGGCCAACATGGTGAAACCCCGTCTCTACCAAAAAAGTACAAAAATTAGCTGGGCATGGTGGCTGGTGCCTGTAATCCCATCTACACAGGAGGCTGAGGTGGGAGAATTGCGTGAACCTGGGAGACAGAGGTTGCAGTGAGCCAAGATCCCACTACTGCACTCCAGCCTGGGTGACAGATCAAGACTCCATCTCAAAAGAAAGAACTACCTGATGACCAGTTACTTTTTCAAATTAGGTCATATTTTGTAAATCTTAATAGGAGTATGAATTTGGTTAATGTGTATCCATCACAGAAATGGGATAGTACCTTTGATAAAATGTTCTATTAGTACATTTTATAAAGGCCCATTCACTACTGACTCTCAGCCTCCCACTCCTTTTTTGAAGAAGTTGGGCTGAGATAGCAGCTATTACTATTCCTACCACCAGTGCTGATTACTAAGGACATAAAATACTGTGTGTATGTGTTTATAATGATTAATGTGTTTATAATGATTATAATGAAGAATGTTATGGTATTGCTAGTATTATGCCATTTTACATATGAGGAGCTTGGGACTCAGGGAAATTAAATACAAAATCGCACAGCTAGAATGTAGCTGAGCTGGAACTTGAACTGATACCCAAGTTCTTTCCACTCTGCTCCATATGCTTCTTTTATCATTGCAGTAGGATCTAGGGTTTTATAATGGAGAAGGCTAAAGAATGCATTAGGTACTTTGGTAAGATACATATCACCTTTGCAGCTGCCTCTCCCATAATCATAGGCCTGGGTAATCTAATAATATGACATGAGTGTAAAGACACCAGCCCGTCATTGATCTCTGAGCTTCTGTGACTTGCAGAAGTCTTAGGGGGCCAACTATAGCCTTTCAAGGGAAGAAAGGGGTCTGGGTGGGAAGACTTGCTGGAAGGCAGCGAAGTGGAGTGGAAAGAACATGGCTTACAGACCCAGGAAGACCAGGTCTGTCTGCCTTGAGCAGTCTCTTCACTAACCATCAGTAAAGTGAGGACAGTAGCACCAACTTGATAGGATTGAATTAAATGAGATGAAGGATATAAATCTTATGATGTAGACAGGACGCTCAACAATTGTTAGTTGCAGTTGCAAGAGGACTTTACTTTCTCTTTCCACAATTTCCCATGCACACATTCATTGACAGATGCATATTCACTGCTGCTTAAGATTTTGCACGCAGTCTCTTTCATGCTAGTGTGAGAAGCCCTAAATTTATCTTTTTTTTTAAAAAAAAATATGTTATTTCTGCATAGTTTCCCATTGCCTCAATGCTTCCTTTTGTGAGTTTAGATCACTAAGGGCCTCTAGGACACTGGGTGTCAACAATAGCGAATTCATCCCAAGTTTGTGTCATGCCTCTTCCCTCGTCTGAGGGATGAGGGTGGCGGTTGGGTTTGCCTCTTATCTCACTCGTTCTTTTGCTATGGGAAGTCTCACTGTCTTCTCCGGAAGCCTTAACCTTCCAAGAGGAAAAAAGGCTTCTTAAACTCCGAGGCACGGCTAGAACACAAGTGCCTAGAACTCTGTGCCCTTGCCCACTGGAAGTGGAAGAGGGTTCATCACTTACGCTCTGGAGTTGTCCAAATTCTTATGTTCTTTGTTCTCTTTTGGCAGAACCAGCTTCTTGCAAAAGGACTGTTCTTTGTGGAGGAGAAGATCAAGCTGTGTGAAGGCAAGTACAAGACAGCCCTGGTAGACTGGGGCCTCTGTGACTCAGTCTTTGATGTCTGGACGGCTGAGATGCTTCTGTCCAGAAGGGGCAGGCTCCAAGCGAGTGATTCACCCTGTCCGTTTCCTCCCTACCTAGGCAGCAGCACTTTGATTTGAGTCAGCTGCTCACAGCAGTGCAAGTCAGAACTGTGTTTCAGAAAAATGTAGTGGGACGGGGTGGTTTCTTTGGAGACCTTGTTCAGGGTTTTTTTTTGTTTTGTTTTTGTTTTTGTTTTTGTTTTTGTTTTTAATGGGATGCAGGCTGGTGGTCACCTTTGAAGGTATAAGTTATACTGTGAATCCTCCATGCTATTTCCTCTGGTCTGTCCCGAGCTATTTCCTACAGGCCTTTGTAATATTTCTGGGGAGTCATAGAAGAGAGGAGTCCTGTCCATTTGCAGGACATTAGGCTAAGCAGGCACTCACTCAATAGGGTATGATTTGATAGATAAAGGGAAATTTCCTGATCTTAGAGTTTAAAGTCCAACTGACAGGAAAGAAAGGAACTGAATGGAGATAGAAACAGGTTCCAAAGGCAAGAATTAGCCAACCCCATGACTCTACCAAGGGCTACTCTTAGCTCCCACCAAAGTGGGGCTTGATCTTAGCTTGCCACCTCCTTCTTGGGTGACTTTTGGTTAGTTACTAGTTTCTCCAAGTCTCAGCTTTTATCATTTTTGAAGTGATAAATTGGGGTGAGGGGTTGTAGGGAATATAAGGCACATGAGTGGCATAACACCATACCTGGCACACAGGCGAACATACCGGACCCTTTCTTTTTTTTCTGCTCCAGCCTAATGAACCGTAGATCAAACTTACTTCCAGATCCAGACTTATTAGGTGTCATGTCATCATCCTTTTGTTTCTTCCCATTCCCTGGGAAAGACACGAGTGTGTCCAGGAAAGGGGCTCCTAGAAAGACAAAGTAGGAAGGAAAATGAGAAACTGACGCTGGAAAGTTCCAAGGTCTGGCAAACAGTTAATGCTTACCAAGCCTTGGGAAGAATAGAGGTTAGAAATTAACCTTTGCACATTTGAGAGTTGGCTGAACCTGTAGCCATTCTTCCCTTGAATACATCGATGACATTTTTTTTTCAACCTTATAAATACCCAATAACCCAAGACCTTTAGAAAAAAAAATTTAAATTGTGGTTAAACAAAACCCCACACAATATAAAATATACCCTCTTTATAATTTCAGTACTTTACAGTTCAGTAGTGTTAATTATATTTACATTGTTGTGTAACAGATCTCTAGAACTTTATCTTGCAAAACAGAAACTCCACGTCCATTGAACAACTCCCAACATTGCCCCCTTTCCTCAGCCCCCGACAGCCACCATCTTATTTTTTGTTTCCATGCTTTGACTAATCTAGGCGTCTTATAAGTGGAATCATATGGTGTTTGTCCTTTTGAGACTGGCTTAGTTTTATTCAGCATAAGGTCCTCAAATTCATGTTGTAGCATGTGACAGGATTCCCTTCTTATTTTAAGGCTAATATTCCATTTTATGTGTATGCTACATTAGCTTTATCCTCTCATGTGTCAAAGGAAGGGGCTTATTCTTAGGTGACTTGCTTTGACCAAGAATTTAGTGGCTCTTTTGCTTCTTTTTTTGAGACAGAGTCTCACTTCTGTGGCCCAGGCTGGAGTACAGTGGCATGATTTCGTCTCACTGCAACCTCCACCTCCCAGGTTCAAGTGATTCTCATGCCTCAGCCTCTTGAATAGCTGGGATTACAGGCACGTGCCACCACGCCCAGCTAATTTTTGTATATTTAGTAGGCGTTTCACCATGTTGGCCAGGCTGGTCTCGACTCCTGACCTCAAATGATCCACCGCCTTGGCCTCCCAAAGTGCTGGGATTACAGGCATGAGCCACTGTGCCCAGCCCTCTTTTGCATTTTGGAGTCAGGCTAGTACAAAAATGTGGAAGACAACTGCGTGGTAAAGGGAGGGAAAGGAAACATTATCCCTGGCCATATTAATTGTATGTATGTTATCTGGGGAGTTATTACAAGCTCCTGGAAATGTGGAAAAACAGCTCTATGAAAAAGAAACTGAATAAAACCAGAGGTTCAAGTGCCCTTAAAAGGGGAAGTTGAATGTCTCTCACCCAAGTAACCCTCATCATAGATACACTCAGAGTGAAAACTCAGAAATGGGGCTAGACAGGATGAACAAAGTTCATCCAAGATTCTGTCCCCCTGCCCTGGCATGGCCTGAGAGCACCAGGCCTGGCATATTCTCTGAGTCTCTTCTAGTCTTAGAGTTCTGGGTGTTGGGGCCTGTTCTGTACAGTGAATAGGCATGTGGGGAACCTTTAAGGGACTCTGCCATCTTCAACCAGGCATCTCTACTTTTTAATTTTATGTATTAGAACTCCAAGAAAAATTGTGTTTGGATAAAACTTGCTATAAAACAAAGTTTGAAAACAATTAATATGATCCGTCCAGTCACTGAACAAACTCCTCTTTGTCGACATCTCCGCTTAGGTACTTACATGTCTATATATACACACCCCTTCTTTACTGATGCAGAAAAGACAGGTGGCTGTTCATATCCACTTATTGCTGTTTTGTGGGCAGAAGATGCCATGTTAACTTCAACTTTTCCAGAGCCTTAGTGACCTTGAGTCTTAGGAAGTTTCTTATACTTACCTATATACTTCTGGTGACCTAAACTGCTGCGTTACATTAGAGGGCAGATTTATAGGACGGTCACCTAGAACCATCCATCCAACCCCCTTCATTTTTGCAGGGAGCTAAGTCCTTGACTTATGGGCTGTTTCTGGAAGGGAAGGCACCTGTGTTCTTTAACTCTTTCTCCCCCAGGGCTACCCTGTTGCTGGGTCTGTGTCTGTCAGATGTTCTTCTCTGAACGCTTTCCAAAACCTCCCTTACTCTCTGAAGTTTGCAGCCAGCAATTAGACCTGGGTTCTCGGGAGGCGTCTTACTGCTGCTGGGTTGCAGAATTACCTTGTGTGCCAATGAGCATCCTGTCTTGGCATTGAAAGGGGGAGTAAGTAGGCACCAGTGCTGACCTGCAAGGTTCTCTCTTCTTCCCCTCCTTCAGGTCAAGAGGGCCTCTGCTTGTCTTGGTTGTAGAAGGCTTAAGATAAGGGACATCAACAAAGAAGCTGGAGTAACCTTTTGCCCTTTGGGGTAAATTATCCAGGTGCTGGAGTTCACCTTGGTTCTAGGAACCAGGGTGACTCAGATTGTGAGAGGGTCCTTTTAGACTTCCCCCTCCTCCTCCCTGCAGTGAAACAGCATAGCCTATATTTGAAAGAGGATGGTGACTGCTTCAATCAAATGTTTATTTGATTATCTACTATGAGCCAGTACTTTGCTAGGTGCTGGGGAGTCAGGAATCAGAAAAACCATCACAGCATTACAGGCCCTCATGGAGCTCACACATGAATCAAATCATCACCAAGTATAAAACTGTACCTAGGACAAGTACTAAGAATACAATCTGCAGCGGGGTGGTTTGACCAATGGGGAGAGACTTTCCCCTAGAAGTGATGTTCAAGCTGCAACTAGAAAGATAAACAGAAGTAGGTTAGGTAAAGAAGGGAGAGAAAGAGCAGTCAAGGCAGAAGGGCTAGCATATGCAAAGGCCCTGTGGCATGACAGAGAATGGTGACTGAAAGAGGGATGATTAGAGCCCAAAGGCTGACAGGAATACAAAAGAGAGGATCAAGACCCAGGAGGAGGAGGCAGATTCTCCTGGGCTGTGTAGATCATATTACTGATGTTTTCTTTATCCTAGGAGCAAAGGAAAATGTTCATGCTAACTATTAAGTCCTGTTCTACACTGTCCCATATTTGGGTTAAATGGTAACCTCCTTCCACTCACCAGCCCCAGTATCTGCAAAAATCTATACACTTGGCACTTTCCATCCATTCACGCAAAGATTTTAAAAGATTGATTTATTGAAGTGGCTGCACCATGCTAAGCACTATGATGAGCAAGACAGATGGGGCTCCATTCCCAATCCCGTTCCAGTGACGAGACAGAGAAGAAGTGAATAAGCTGTTCCGATAAAGTGTGATCAGTGGTTTGCACAGGCAAGTTGAGGGTGCCCTGGATTTGCATTTTCCCCCTGTGAATTTCACCCTGACCTTTCAAAATCTGCACATCTTTGGACCTCCTGGCTACTAGTCATGCCCTTGTTCTATTCTCTCTCCCCAGCCACTGCTTTTATTGCCCATTAAATTAATAGACGGGAGGCGCCAAATGAATCTTTCAAGATTTATTCAGTGGAACTGGCAGTGTCTTGCCAAACGCGTCTCTCAGTGTCTAATCTTGGCTGACCCAGTTTCTCTGCCTGGGATGAGCAGAGGCAGTGACCAATATCAGCTCTGATATCTAGGTCATTAAACAGCAAATGCTGTGCAGGCTCCTCTTTGCCAGGGCCCGTCTTTCCTGGAGGTGCAGAGTTCCTCACACAGCCTTCTGATGGCACTGGGTGACCTGTGTGCTCTCCAGCCTGGGGTAGCAGGGACACTTGGCCATAGCTTAGGCTTCCTGATCCTCAAAGTGAGTAGGGACAGCATCAGGAGGCAGGTGCTGTGTTTTGCAGATGGCCTTTTCAGAGAATGCTGCCTTCCCAGTTACTGTAAAGTGGGTGGAGGAAACAGTTTCCAAGTTCTGTTTCTGCCTCTCTCCATTGACAGCTGAAACCCAGAATAAAGCCAATATCTTAATGAGTAAGAAAACAAAACAGTATATAGCTGTGCACATGATCTTCCTGGATAAGATTGGCCAAGAGCATGGGTTCTGGAATCACAGCTCTGCCTTCGAGCTGTGTGACTTTGGGGCAGTTAGTTGGCCTCTCTGAGCCTGTAAAGCGGGGGTATTAGAGTCTAGTCATGAGATATCTTATAGGTAAGTAAACTAGCATAGTGCTGGATAATGTTGTAACAATTCATGTAATAACAATTACTATGTGATTTTAAGATGTCAGCTCCCTTTTCTGGATTGGAGGATGGAAAGGCATATTTGCATATTTTCAGTTGAGTTCTCCCACCCAGTCCTACATTTACTATAGTAAAACCTTGTAGATCAAATGTAAGTAATGAGCTCTCTTTCCTCCCCACACCTAATGCTGCGCCTCCCATTCAGAGTCTTACTAGTGAAGACTAGTAAGTTTAGATTACTTATTAGTAAGACCAGAGAGTTAGGATCAATACGTGCACCCTTGTGAGATGGAATATATTTCTGCCCTGAGAATCTCTGTTGGTCTTAGCCTGGAATTAAGATCCTGTAGCACCACACCTCTGCTCTCTGGGCTTTAATAGCTCCTGGCTGCAAGTTTTTTAGCATGTGCAGCTTGACATTTTATGTGGAACTGTCTTCTGGCCTCTCCTACAAGTAATGACGAATTCTTTTCTTTCTTCCTCCCTTCCCATCTTCTCGCCCTCTTGTAGGTGAAAATCGCATTGAGGTTCTGGCTGAAGTCTGGGACCACTTCTTCACTGAGACTCTCCCTACCCTGCAGGCAATATTTTATCCAGTTCAGGTTAGTCTCATTGGGGAACACTTCCTGCCATCCTCAGCGATCTGTCTTCTCTCCTGGCCCTTGCGGCCTGAGGGCTCCTGGTAAATGGGAGAAAACTTGGAGATTGGGCGCTTGTATTGGTTAAGGAGTTTAGAGATTGTTTAAGGGCTCTCTGGTTCTATATTTAGGGCCTAACTTCAAGTGAAGAAGAGTGCCTGCATAACTAGCAATTTGTAGGCTCTTGTTACCCTCTTGGTTTTGAGTATGTCTTTATATTCTTGGAGTGGTTTGTTTTTCTTAGTTTTCAGAAGTACAGAAGATGGGGGAAGGGAGATTTCTTGTTTCTTTTCTTTCTTTCTCCCCTGCCTCTATCTTTCTTCTCTCCCCCTACTTTTTTTTGTGAAGCATAATTTTAAAGCAAGTTTGCCGTCACATTCAAATTATGAAAAAGGAGTAACATTCCGTGTTCCTCTGTAAGGGATCCTACGTGATTTAGTAGGAAGAATGCTCGACTAGGAATCTGTAGACTTAGATTCAAGAGTGTGGGCTTGGGCAGAGTCATTTATCTTCTGTGAGCATAGCTCCATTGTATCTCCTACAAAATAAGGAATTTAGAATAAAATGTGAATGACACCTCTAGTATTCTTATTCTGTGGCCTCTACTCCTACCATTTGTGTTGATACCCTTGCCCCCTTGTCTCTGTAGAGCTAATACCACGATGGTCACTGCCAGGTTGAAGCCACCGCTAAGGGAGGTTGACCCATAGATGTTCCTCTCCAAAATACATGTCTCTCTCACTTAAGCTGCAGTGTACTCCCTCTTCTCTCCTCCCACTGGGGTTGAGGCTTCGTATGTAATTAGGTATTGTTGAAGTGTGGGCGTCGTATGCAGAGGAACACAGCCATTAAGCAATGGGTAGAATGACCTTATACCACATAGATTGTTTGGTCTGAACAGTGTTTTAAAGGAATTTTGGATTGCTGAAAACATTTGTCAAATATTTAAAACCTGGGAGGTTATGCTTATAGATTCCATTTTCCATGTTAGACCCACCCCATAACATTTCCAGTAAGATAGTACAGATAGAAGCTTCTGTCCTGTAGCCTGCAGAAACCTTCCCCTTCCTTACAGTAGTCACTCATCAGCCATCAGTAAGTCTTGTCTCAGGAAGATAGGCATGGGGATAAGGTTGCCAGATGAAGCAAATAAAAATACAGGATGTTGGCCGGGCACAGCACTTTGGGAGGCTGAGGTGGGTGGATCACTTGAGCCCAGGAGTTTGAGACCAGGCTGGGCAACATGATGACAACCCATCTCTATTAAAAAAAACTAGCCAGGCATGGTGGCTTGTGTCTGTAGTCTCAGGTACTAGGGAAGCTGAAGTAGGAGGATCACTTGAGCCCAGACGATTGAAGCTGTAGTGAGCTGAGATTGCACCACTGCACTACAACCTGGGTGACAGAGCAAAACCCTGTCTCGAAATAAATAAATACTACGGGATGTTGAGTTATATTTGAATTGCATATATAAGCAAATAATGCAATATTTGGGACATATTTATACTGAAAAACTCTTCAAATTTAACTGGGCATCCCGTGTTTTATCTGGTAGCCCTACTAGAAGGGGTGTGCAGGAAAGACCTGCATTTGTAGGTGGACAAAGGGGCATGTTGAATCAGTACCTGGCGCCTCCTGCGTTTAAAGGCAAACTGAACCAGACCCAGGACAGCAACATGGTACCACCATTTCGAGGGGCCCTGGGTCTCTCTTCAGGCCATTTGTGTAGGGAATTCCAGGGTGCAGGTGTCCAGATGGTTCTAGAATGGAGAGTGCAGGATCTGGGTGGACATAGCCCCAGTATAGTCAAGAGGGCAAAGGTTGGGGAGGGGGGTTTTAAAAGCTCAGAGCCAGGCAGGAGCCCAGACATGTGGGTCTAAGGATAGCTCTGTTTCAGTTCTCTTGGAAGATGGTAAGATCTGGCAACAATTAATATTGCCCCTGTTCACCTCCTCACTCCCCAATGACTGACTTGAATTCTGCTTCTCTTCTCGAGTTTGCCATGGCCCCCACCTTGCTGGCTTCCCTTTTCCTGTCAACTCCTGAGGCCATTCGCATGTGCTAACCCTGCTTTATTCAATTAGCTGAATTGGGTTTGGGTGAGATGGGCATGTCCATATTCAGATTGTGGACAGGGAATATTCCGGGGAGGTGGCGAAGATCTGCAGCAAATGGTCATCAGAGGTATATAGCATACCCTGAAAAAGGCAAACTGTGCCTTCCTCCTCCTTTTTGTTCTCAGCTGATCCAGGTTCACATATTTATAGTTTTATAGGACTGTATCTCTTAGGCTTTACTTTTTCTTTGTGCTTAGCCTAGAGAAACTGGATGGCATTTGGGTAACAGGGATATGCACTGTTATTTTTTTTGGAGTACGTAGGTTGTGAGGAGACAGGCTTGGTTTTGTTATGCTTTCCCCATCAAGCCTAAAACAAGAACAGAAAAGTGAATTCTGGATTAGTAGGAATTCCTTCTCTGATTCATTGTGGGCCTAAGAGATGGCTAAGTCCTGGTAACAAGCCAGTGCTCTGGTTAATGGCCCCAAATGACCCTCTAAGAAAGCAATGATTAACTTGTTTATGTGGCAGGTTGGTATAAACCGGGTACCCCATACCCTCCCTTAAAAGTATTTTCTGCTTGCATCAAAGGCCAGATTCTGCATATAGAAAAGGCCTTTATGGGTTGGGAACCAGCGAGGAGTTCTGAAGATAAAACCTCCCCCCCACCTATGCTGGGGAGGAATTTAGATATTGAGAGATTGGGATATTGGAGCCAGTTCTAACATAAATGGTTGTGGCATGTTGCTGTCCTTGGCCCGGTTAAACTCACCTTTAAACACAGGAGGTACTAGGTACTGATTCAGTATGCCCTGCTGGTCACTTATAAATCCAGGCCTTTTCTTCTGAGAGTGTAATGTTTAACCATGGGCTTAGAAGTCCCAAAGGCAAAATCCATCATGTTCTCCAGGTGAGTGCTATAACTACCCATGCCCAGTCTAGACCCAAATGACTACAGGTATTTCATATGAAGAAATGATGGCAACAGAATAATCTGGGGAAGAAATGAGGGAGGGGGAGCAGCGCCAAAGAGGAACAAAGTGGTTCAAAGCATGAGCTGCAGAGTTAGCTCATGACTGACTGTGTTAGTCTGTTTGTGTTGCTATAAAGGAATACCCGAGACTGGGTAATTTATAGAGAAAAGAGGCTTGTTTGGCTCATGGTTCTGTAGGCTGAACAAGAAGTGTAGTTGCCAGCATCTGCCCCAGGTGAGGCCACAGCAAGCCTTCACTCATGGCAGAAGGCAACAGGGGAGCCAGTGTATCACATGGCAAGAGGAAGCAAGAGACAGGGAGGAGGTGGCAGACTTTTTGAAACAACTAGCTCTCTCATACTAATAGAGTGAGAACTAATAGAGTGAAAACTCACTAAAGAGTGAGAGCTCACTCATTACCAAGGGGAGGGCACCAAGCTGTTCATGAGGGATCTGTCCCTATGACTCTACCTTCTACTAGGCCCCACCTCCAACATTGGAGATCACATTTCAACACGACGTTTGGAGGGGACAAATATCTAAGCCATATTTTCTGCCCCTGGTACTCCAAATCTCATGTCCTTCTCACATCGCAAAATACAATCATTCCTGCCCAATAGTCCCCTAAAGTCTTAATTTATTCCAGCATCAACTCAATCAGAAGTTCAAAGTCTCATCTGAGACTCAAGGCAAGTTCCTTGCACCTACGAGCTTGTAAAATCAAGAATAAGTTATTTACTTATAAGATACAATGGTGGCACAGGCATTGGGTACACATTCCCATTCCAAAAGGGAGAATTTGGCCAAAAGAAAGGGACAGCAGGCCCCACTTGAGTCTGAAACACAGCAGAGCAGACATTAAATCTTAAAGCTCCAAAATAGTCTTTGACCCCATGTTCCACATCCAGGACATACTGATGCAAAGGATGGGCTCCCAAGGCCCTGGGCAGCTCTGCCCCTGTGGCTTTGAAGGGTTCCAGCCCCTGGGTCTGCTCTCACAGATTGGAGTTGAGTGCCTGTGGTTTTTCCAGGCTCAGGGTGCAAGCCGGTGGCTCTACCCTTCTTGGGTCTAGAGGGCAAGAACCCCCTTCCCACGGCTCCACTAGGAAGTGTCAGGGGCTCCAACCCCACATATCCCCTTGGCACTGCCCTGGTAGAGTCTCTTTGTGGGGGCTCCACCCCTGTGGTAGGCTTCTGCTTGGGCACCCAGGCTTTTCTATACATCTTCTGAAATCTAGGTGGAAGCTGCAAAGCCTCCTTCTCTTGTACTCTGTGCACCTGTAGACTTAGCACTATGTGGAAGCCACCAAGGCTTATAGCTTGCTCCCTCCAGAGTAACAGCTGGAATGGTACCTGGGGCACTTTGAGCCACTGCTGGAGCCAGAGAAACTGGGATGTGGGCAGCAGTGTCCTGAGGTAGCACTAGGCATCCCCTGAGCGTGGCCTCCAAAACCATTATTTCCTTTAGGCTTCTGGGCCTGTAATGGGAGGGACTGTCCCAGAGGTTTCTGAAATGACTTCAATGCCTTTTTTAAACTCTGGTCTTGGCTATCAGCACCTGTTTCCCTTTTAGTCATGCAAATCTCTCTAGGAAGTGATTGTTCCACAGCTCTCTTATATTTCTCTCCTGCAAATGCCTTTTCCTTCTTCACTGCATGGCCAGGCTGCAAATTTTCCAAATTTTTATGCTCTGTTTTCCTTTTAATTATAAGTTCCAACTTTAAGTCATTCCTTTACACCTATTCCTGATCTTAGGCTGTTCGAAGCAGCCATGCCACATCTTGAATGCTTTGTTTCTTATAATTTTTTTTTTTTTCGAGACAGAGTCTCACTCTGTCACCCAGGCTAGAGTGCAGTGGCACAATCTCAGCTCACTACAACCTCCACCTCCTGGGTTCAAGCTATTCTCCTGCCTCAGCCTCCCAAGTAGCTGGGATTACAGGCGCCTGCCACCATGCCAGTCTAATTTTTGTATTTTTAGTAGAGATGGGGTTTCACCATATTGGCTAGGCTGGTCTCAAACTCCTGACCTTGTGATCCACCCGCCTTGGCCTTCCAAAGTGCTGGGATTACAAGTGTGAGCTACTGTGCCCGCCCTAGAAATTTATTTTACCAGATACTCTAAGTCATCACTCTTAAGTTCAACCTCCCACAAATCCCCCGGGCATGGACACAATACAGACAAATTATTTGCTAAGGCATAAAAAGGGTGATTTTTATTCCAGTTCCCAATAACTGCCTCATTTCCACTTGAGACCACCTCAGCCTGGCCTTTGCTGTCCCTATTTCTATCAGTATTTTAGTTATTACCATTTAACTAGTCTCAAAGAAGGTCCAAACCTTCCCTTGTCTTTTTGTCATCTTTTGAGCCCTGAGCCCTCCAAACTCTTCCAACCTCTGCTCATTACCCAGTTCCAGAGCTGCTTCCACACCTTCAGGTATCTTCATAGCAACATTCTACTCCTTAGCACCAATTTTCTGTATTAGTTCATTTTGCATTGTTACAACGGAATACCTGAGACTGGGTAATTTATTTATTTAAAAAAACAAGGTTTATTATTTGGCTTACAGTCCTGCAGGCTGTATATGAAACACAGTACCAGCATCTGCTCCTGGTGAGGCTTCAGGAAGCTTATAACCGTGGCAGAAAGGTGATGGGGAGCCGGTGTATCACATGATGAGAGAAGGAAGCAAGAGATGGGGGAAGAGGCACCAGGCTCTTTTAAACAACTAGCTCTCATGTGAATTAATTGAGAACTCACTTATCACCAAGGGGAGGGCACCTAAGCCATTCATGAGGGATCCGCTCTCATGACCCAAACACCTCCTGCTAGGCCCCACCTATAACACTGGAGAAAACATTTCAACATGAGATTTGGAGGGGACAAATATCCAAACCATGTCACTGACCTGGGTTCACATTGTCAGTCTGCCACTTATCATCTTGATATTCTTGGGAAGATAACTTTGCTTCTCTGAGCCTTGGTTTTCTTCTAGAAAATAATAAAACTTGCTTCACAGGAGTGTTAAGAAGAGTAAGTGAGATAATACTTGAAAAGCACTTAATTTTGCATATGACACACAGTAAGGGCTTAAGAATTGTCGCCATCATCATCAATATCATTATTATTCTCTGCACAATAAAATGTGTTGGAATCACAGCAGATAATCCAGTTATTTGGATGAGTTTTTCCCACGTCATGGGCTGAGCAGATGAGTTGACAATGGGTGACTGTTGAGTGTCTACCATATACTGGCACTGTTATGGAAGTGTGGGCACAGCTCCTGAGAGTTGCCTAAGTGGGGTTATGACCTGTATTTTCCTAGTCATCCTACTTAGGAAATCATCCCCCCAGTTGGTGTAAGACAGTAGGCTCTCTTATACACTGTTGCTGGGAGTACAAATGGATGCAATCTTTTTGGAGAGCAACATGGCAGTATTTTTTTACGACTTTTTAAAGGCATATTTGGATTGAGTAATTTTCCTTTGCAGGAGAATAATCTGGATATGCTGATAAAATATGCCCAACGTGGCATGGATAAATATGTTTGAAACACACACACACACGTGTGCAAATGAAAGCATCTTGGTCAGGAGATGGTTGGTTACACACAGTGTGTTCACACAGTGGTAGAATATTACGCAGCCTTACAAGTGAGGGAGGTCAATATGTGCTGGTATGAAAAGATGTCCAAAATATACAAAGTGAAACAAAAGCAAGCTGCAGAACAGTAGGAGGGGTATAATCTCTGTGTGGGTTTAAAGGTTTTATATGTGATTTTGTGGATATAGGAACTTTCTGGAGAAATTCAGAATATAAATAAAAACCTCAAGGAGCAGTTACCAGTGTGGAGTGAGAATAAGAGATTAGACGAAGAGGACTTGTAACTTTACCTTAAGCCCTTTTTCTGATCTGTTTTAATCTTTGCCTTTAAATGTTTTATAATATAAATACAAAACCAAAAACAATAAGGCAAAATAATCGTCTATTTGGAGTGCAGTTCAGGGGAATGAAGAGTCCTTCGGGATGCCTTGATGACCTTCTAGGGAATTCCTAAATAATCAGTTCTGGAAAGTGATTTGGCAGTTGTTGGAGCAGGAGGTCCTAGAATTGTTTCCTTTTGCTTTGCAGTCTTTCCTTCCCACCAGAATTGCTGTTCTAGTTTCTAGAAGGTTGCCTGCCCCAGTCTTCCTTTTTCTCTCTTCCCACATTCTATAGTTTAAATCAGACAGTTCTATTGTTCACTTCCCTGGAAGGTTGTGAACAAAAAGTTGTTTATGTCCCCTCTGCTTCCAGCATCACAAAGGACCAAGAGCCAGGACCTGGCCAGAATAATGCTGCCTAATGCTGGCTCTCTCCTGTTGCCTCAGCATCTCTGTCCATCAATCCATCCAACAGAGGTAGTACCAACTGGCCAACTTTTAAAAGATATTGAAGGAATAAAACCCAGTCAAAGTCTCTCATTATAAGATAACTTATTTAAAGCACCCAACATAATGTGAGCTCTATTTATAATTTTTTATGGTATTGAAATGTATGGGTGGTGATTGTGTGTATCTGTTGGATGTGGGGGGTCAGGGGATATGGAGATAGCAAAACCACTCTTGACCATGTTTCTATAAAACTCTATGGAGTTGCAGGAAATATAAAACATCCTTAAACCTTGGTCAGCTTGGGAGGGTACCCTAATGATGTCTTTGGTTCTACCAGGAACAACCGGCTTTTAGTGTGCATTTGTATGTATGTGTGCAAAGGAGAGTCTGAAAAATTCACCCTCTTTTCTCTTTTGTTCTTGAAAAACTTGAGCTCTAAAATCAAGAAGTTTGGGTTTGAAACCCTGCTCTACTTTGGGTGTATTATAGTAAGTCTCTGGGTTTTCAGGTGTTTCATCTGTGAAATGGGTTTGGCTCTACCAAGAACAACTGATTTTTAGTGCATGTTGTATGTATTGTGTAAAGGAGACTGAAAAGTGCACCTTCCTTTCTCTTTTGGTCTTGGGAAACTTGAGCAGCTCTAAAATCAAGAAGTTTGGGTTTGAAACGCAGCTGTACTTTGGTTGAATTAGAGTAACTCTCTGGGTTTTTGGGTGTTTCATCTGTGAAATGGGTTTTATAATGGTACCTATCTCAAAGGGTGGTTGTGGGGATTACACAGGTTGACATCTAAACTATGTAGAATCATGCCTAGCACATAGAATTTAATACATGTTAGCTTATTTATAGTTATTATTTTCACCTTCTGCTCCCTACCCCATCCCCACAATTGAACAAATCCCTTTTCTCCTACTTTCCTATTTATTTTTCTTCCTAAATTACAGTATTTATACAACAATCTAAGAGGTCCTGTGTTTTCCTTCTTTATTTGTATGATAGATGTTCAGATATATTATAGATGAAGTTGAGAAAACGGCCTTGAATGTAGGGAGGTAGTATTGATCTTCTCTTTGTTTCTCCCATCTTTCTCTTTCTCTCCTTCGTGACCACTCATAGCACTTATAATAGTGTGGCCCTGATTATATGTGCCTTGTATTGTCTTTCGGTCATTTAGGTAGGCAGGTTGAGTCATGCCTTATCTTAACAGCATTTTAATTCTAGAGGAGCCAGGTCTTTGGCTCTTTGAAAGACACACTGGCCCTTGCAGACGCCTCATCCCATCTTTGGTGCTATATAAACATGTGTTGTCTTGAACCCCACATGGTCGGTGGCAGATTCAGTAAGCTCTCACCTCCCGGCCCTCTCTCCTCTGTCCCCTCTAGGGCCAGGAGCTGACTATCCGCCAGATCTCCCTGCTGGGCTTCCGAGACCTAGTCTTGCTGAAGGTGAAGCTGGGTGACCTGCTGCTGCTGGCCCAGTCCAAGCTGCCCTCGTCCATTGTCCAGATGTTGCTCATCCTGCAGGTGAGGCTGTGCTGGAGACTTGCCCCAAGGCAGAGGGAGGGAGCGAGGGAAGAGATTGCCTTTCTGAGATGAGGGGGAAGGAACCTAGTGACCAGAGCACCTTAGCTTGGCTTACTACTATTTAGTTTGTTGGCCCGTGTTCATTCATTCATTCATTTGTTCATTTGAGGTGCATTCACTGAGCACCTGTTAGGTCCTGGTGCTGTGCTTGGTGCCAGGACCACACTGGGGAGTGAGGGAAGCATAGTCTTTCATTCAGGAAGTAGATGCCCTTTTCCCCTCTCCAGTGATGCCAGGGAGCCACAAGTTGCAAGTCACAGCAAAGAATACACTTTGGCCTAGCTTAAGCAGATGAGGAACTCCCTGAAAAGCTCCTAGGGCAGATGGACTTCAGGAGGGATTACAACCAGGAATGAGGCTGTCTCAGGCCATGAAGCCACCATCCTTTCTCTACTTTCTAGTCTCTACTTGTATCTGGGCTACTTTGTCTGTCTTCATCTTATCCTATCTTTCCTGGACTTGGTCTTTTTCTCCCTGCAGGCTTATGTTCTGTGTTTGGTTTGTACCTGATCGAATGTGACACCTCACAGCTGATGTGCTTCCAGTAAGAGACTGCCCAGTGGCTGCCTAGTGTCACTCAATCCCAATTCTAAATCAATACTAGGAATTTGAGCTAACACATATTGGTCCTTGGCTATGTGCCGGGCACAGGCCAAGGACGTTAAGTGTGTTGTTTCCTTAATCAGATAATCCAGACAATCACTGTATGAAGTAGGCATTGTTATTCCCATTTTAGAGGTGAGGAAAATGAAACCTAGTAAGTTTGTGTGCTTGCCTGAGGTCCCTCAGTTAGGAAGAGGCAGTAAGATTTGGAATTATGCACACTGTGCTTCCTCCCCAGAGGAAATAATTTAATTGGTCCAGCTTGGGCTAGATGATTCCTCTTTGCCCAATCAGCCATGACCCTTGAATAAGATCAAGCAGTATAAACATGGCCTTGGCAAACTCATTCCTATGGGTGGGGGCACACAATTCTCGACGAGTAGGGTTTTTGGCTAGGGACACCCCCAAGAGGTGACTACTATGCCTCTTCACCTCTGTAACAAGTTCAGATGCTGCAGCATTAGCTCTGAGCCCTTCCTCAGGGAAGATGGCTTCATCCTTGATCAGGCTAGTGATGACCCCTTGCTGCCCTCACAGCAGTGATGGAATGTCAGGCATTGGGGCCCCAATCCTTCCCCCACATCCCCCAGCTGGTGCTCTCTTTCAGTCCTTGAAGCTGGGCCATCCTTCTGGGCATTCTCCCCCTTTCCTGTAATTAGAGAGGAGGAAGAGTTGCCTAATAGGATGAGGGTGGGTGTAATTGGCCGGAATGCCAGGTCAAGTATTTTTATGGAAGAGATGGAGAAGGAGGGGGATAGAAAAATGCATGTGGGGCTCGGGTCTGAGAAGCCTTAATTAGAGCATGCTTCCTGAATAAGGAGTCTTGAAAATGAGCCCTTTGGGATTCTGATAGGAAAATTCGGAAAGTTGGGCTCCCATCTTCCCATATCAGTTTATAATAGTTTAGGGCTGAGAAGCGATTCCTTTGTGTTTTGGGCGGTGGCGGTTTGTTTGGTTTTGTGGGAAGGAGAATTGATCCAGTCCTGCAGGTGAAGACTCTCACCTGTTGCTGCTGGAACAGGAGGGCCTGTGTCTATCACATTCCAACATTCCGGGCCCTGTGCCAGGTAGCCCTGCAGCCATATGAGAAAGCTGTCATCATACCCCTGAGTCCCCAAAGACAGGTGAGACTGCTTGCCCAGGAGAATCTACCCTCATGCGCTCTGGTCCCCACCCCCATTTGCTCTCCATGGGACGGCCTCAAACTCTTCAGTGGTTTCCAATCGATCTTAGAAAAACAGCCCAAGTCTGTACCCTGGCCTTCAGCATCTCCCACCCTTCCATCCCTGCCTGGAACCTGACTTACTCACTTTTCTGGTCTTCTTGGCTTCTCCTGGCTGCCGTGGGATCTTTGTGATCACCATTCCTCCTGCTCAGAACACTTTGTCTTCTGGGGTCCTCAAGCCCCTGTCTAATCAAGGCAGGTCAATGTTTTCTCCTTGCCCTTGTGCCCTCAGCACCCAGCATAGTCTTTGGCACATAATAGGTATTAATTAAACACTGTCCAGGGAATATAGCACCAGCTAGTAGAAGGTTGAGCAGGACTGATGCTGGGTCCCTGACCTCACACCCATGTTGGTGACCGTCATGTAGGGCTTCTTCTCTTGGCAGAGGGAAGTACAGTCAAAGAAGCTCTGGGATCATGGCGAATTTCCAGAAAGTCAGGCAAGGAAATGGTTCCTCCTGTGTCTATACCATTATTTTTCCCATCTCACAGCTGAGATGGAGGTTCAGAGAAGGTGGCGACTTTTCTCAAGGTCTTGTACTCATTTATTAAGAGAGCTGGATTGCTCCCCATCCCTTAGCCCTTATCTTCCTACCTCCACTTAGCCTTTCTAGGCAACTACTGCCTCCCTTCTGCAGTCTCCCAGGGTACTTGGAAACGCCCCACAGGCATCCTACAGACCATTAAAGATCGTCCCTCTCTCCTGCAGGGCATCTGGCATCACTTCCCCTGAGGGCTTCCTGGGAATGTTGCCTTTGGCCCATGTTCTTCCTTGCCAGGAGCTCTAGAGCCTGGGGCTGGGGATGTGACTGTGAAGAACCCGGATCTTTCCCCGGCCCAAGTCCATCTTGAGCAGCAAGGGCGATGGCCTCTGGATCTGAATGGAACTTCCAGGTGGCACTGCCCTGGGGCCATATCTGCTACAGGAAATTTGGGCCTCCGTACTTAGAATTGTCCATTCTCTCCCTAGACATGCACTTTCCACAGTGCCATGAGACCTGGGGCTGATATTTTTCAAAACTACCTGACCCTACTACAGAGAAAAGAGCTCTTTCTTAGGCCTTCAGCTCCGTCTTTTCTGTCGCTCTTCCACAATGTCCCTGACCCAACTCCACCCTTCCCAAGTTGTACAAATACTCCTACAGTGGGCCATGTGCTCTGCCTTCAAACTGCCCCAGTGAGAGGCAGAATCGGAGATATTGACCACTGTGAAGATCTGTTTCCTCCCAGCTGATGCAGACAGGTCCTGAGACCACCGGAATGGTGCATTCTCAGGGGCCCCAGCCAGGCAGGGTGTGCAGCCTGTACTCAGAGGACCCTGAGCTTGGTTTTATTTTCTCCCATCAGCATTTGACACTCTTAATGATTTTTGAACACGAGGCCCTGCATTTTCATTTTACGCTGGACCACACAAATTCCATAGCTGTTTGGCAGCCAAGCCAAGGGCTGAGGACAGCACCTTCCTAGAGGGCTGTGCACAAGCCAAGTTCTCAGCAGCAACTTTTCTGAGAGAAAACCATCTAGCTCCAAATCACGTGTTCATTATCCATTTTCTTCCCACCTTTTGCCACTTCTCCTTTTTCTGTGGTCCCTCCCTGTTTAGCAGGTATGGAAGGTTTGGGGGAGAAGCCACTCATTTTCTCTGCATCTCTTCTGGCCCTGTTTCTACCTCCAAATCTGCACCATAGCCCCATCCTCAGCTTCCTTGTATTTCCTGAAGCTGTGTCCTCTCTCCCCCAGCCCCTGGCCGCACCCATCTCAGTGTAATGGTACCATAAAGGGGCCAAGGAAGAGCCTGTTTCCTTGGCAGCTTACATCTCCCCCTGGGATTGCCAACATGCAGGAGTCAGCCCTTCCTGCCTCATTACCTGAACAGCTTCCCCTTCAATCCCTGAAACACTGCACTGGAGTGGAGTCTACTTTGAAAGTGAAAGTGATTTAGAGTCTACTCCATTTCGAGAATTTGCATGTTAACCCCTTGGGCTGGGCACAGCCCCATGGAGATTTGTTTCTTTCCTGGCCAGTCCCCTCTCCTGCCAGGTGGTCTTTGCTTCTTTGCAGCCCCTCAACATGACAGCATGTTTGAGTCCTTTCCAGCAAGAAGCTGAACTCCCCAGGAGTCTGCCAGTTTTCTAGAAAACATTGGTTACTGGCTCCTTTCTGGTTTTGACCATTCTTTACTCAGGGCTTAGCTCTGAGGACTCCTGTCATGCCGGGGTTTTTAATTGGCTCTTCATCTTGGCGCTAAAACTATTCCTGGCTCAAAAAGAATTATCCCTTTCTCTTATAGCCCTGAACTTTTCCATATTCTTTCCTCTCTTCTTTTCTAGCCTGTTAGCAAGTGGCAGAAGAGGGGATCAGAGCCAGATAGCCTGGGTTCCAGTTCAGGGTTTTTGCCATTTACTGGCTGTGTTTTTCTGCTCAAGGTATTTAAGCTCTCTGGGTCTTTAGTTCTTCATCCACAGAAGGGGGATAATAAGAGCACCTTCCTCTTTGCATTGTCAGGAGACCTCCGTGCATTAATATATGTTAAATGTCTCTGTGCTGTTTATGAACCAGTCACGATGACAGTATGGGTAGGATTATTGTCTTTGAGACCAGCCAGATCTCAGCCTTGGAGGTGGGACACCCACACTGCATTGGTGGCCCAGTGGGAGAGGCTGCTGTGGTACTAACCATGCACAGTTCTAATTGCAGTGACCCATGACAAGTGACTAAGGCTTCAGGCCTCAGTTTCCTTCATCCTAACTGCAAGGATGCTGCCTGCCAGCAACACAGCCTTGTACATTGGAGGAGGACAATCAGGATTTGTTGAGTGAGAACCTGCTGGTCATGGCAATGAACACTGACCTTTGTGTATCTTGGCTGTTCATTTTCCAGAGTGTTCACGAGCCCACAGGCCCAAGTGAGAGTTATTTGCAACTGGAGGAGCTGGTGAAGCAAGTGGTTTCTCCTTTCCTCGGCATCAGCGGGGACCGTAGCTTCTCAGGCCCCACGTACACGCTGGGTAAGGAGTGCAGCTCTCAAGTTGTCAAGAGGCCCAGTGATCATGATACCAGCACTGTTTAACTGAGCACTGTTTAACTGAGCACTGATACCAGCACTGTTTAACTGAGCACAGCCTTTTGCTTCCTGTGCGGGTCAGTGCAAATCCGTGCATCTTAAGCACTCACATTCCTGGCCTCTGGAGGTTGCAGTAACCTTCTCCCCCTTGATGATTCCTCCCCAAGGACCGATACTGTGCCTTTGCGGTGGTGCTTGTCTGATCCACATCTTTGATCAGTGGCTTTGATCATTTTGGTGCGCCTAGGACATTAATCTTTCTGTATCTGACACCAGAAACTGTGCTTTGTTACACCCTCCCTCTGGTTGAGTAGAGAAACCTCCTGAGATAGATTTCCCTTTGAAACCAACTGGAAATGTCAGGCCAACTTGTATGCATGGCCAGATGTTATCGAGTTGCTGTCTCCCACTCCATTTCTGTAGGTACCACCACATGGCAAGGAAAGGGGCTCTTGCATTTGGGGACAAATCCTGTTGGGGCCTTTTTTTGATGGCTGTAAACCTAGCATCAGTGAGTGTCAGGCTCTGTACCAGGCACCATGGAAAATCTGGAGATGAATCAGATCTGTTCCTTCTCTCAGTGACACTGCAGTCTAGATGGGTTCAGTACAAATATCTCTATAATACAAAATAGCTCTCAGACCAGTCTTTGTAGAAATAGCTGTATGATAAGGCTTCCAATAATTATAATAATAAAAAACCCAGTTATTGTCTGAAATATAAACGCTCAAAATGCAGAAATGTTTTATTCATTGTTCTGTCCCCAGGAATGGTGCCTGGCGTATAGTAGGCACTCAAAAAATGTTAGATGATGGCAGCAACGGTACTTCAGGGCCAGGGGAGCCAGCACCCATGGAGAGATGCAGAGGCAGAAATGGATTACTCAAATTGGGAACCTGATGCCCCCTCTTCTCACTTTAATGGAGTTGTAATAGTTGAGCTTCAAAGAAAGGAGCGTCCTCCAGTGAGGTTCCTGCCCCTTCCTGGGCCTCTCTACCACAGCAAGAGCCAGGGCCAGCTGGCAGTTTTCACCACCCTGCTCATGTTTTTCTGGAGACACCAGCTTAACCACAGCCACCACAGATCGGAGGGTGCTGGCCCCAGCCTGCTGCCTGCTGGTTCTTCTCCTTCCTCCCTCCCTTCCTCACTCATTCCTCCCAGGAGCTGGAATGGGCCAGAGTTTCAATGACACTGAAGGAAAACAGTCTTCTGCAGCCCCACTCTGAGCTGGGGTGCCATGTTGCTGCGGTCTCCCTGGAGTCCACCTTCCTGCTGGCTCAGCTCACTGAATTTTGGGGGACTGGGGCATCCAGGGAGCTGTCAGGACGTCAGCAGGTTAGCTGGGCCATGGCAGGAACGCTACCATTGTTTGGGCCTAATGCCAGTGTAGAGGAAGAAAAACAGTTTTTCTTCCAACTCTCCTAAGCTCTTAGTTGGAACAGAACCCTGTAACACATTAACAGGAGAAAAACAAACAGCAGCTTATTAAAACTGTATGTTTCATACATACATGGGTCACACCCAGGGAGTCAGTAGTTCTTAAATACATGGCTTTGAATTCCAGCTTATATAGCATCTTCAACAACAAAAAATAAATTTCTAGAGAAGTGATAAGGCAAAGAAAAACAACTTTGAGTCTTCAGGGGTGGCAGCTTGTGGCAAGGGAAATAGATGGCAGATAAGGGCTGGTTAGTGAGGCTTGTTCATGTAGGTTTCTCTGTTGGCATTGCTGGCTGATAAGGGTCTAAAATTGTCTTCAGTGGTTAACCTTTGCTCTCCCTGGTAGAAGTGGGATGGGATACCGTTTGTCTTTATACATCTATATCCTGCCTTTAAGCAAATAGAGGGAGGACAGAGAGCTTCCTGTATCTGCTTCTTAACTGCCTTCAGTTCATAAATCCTTATGCCCAAGAGGCATATTTTGTGGTGGCATATTTTGGTGTCCTATCCCAGGAACAAGAGTCAATTGGGAAGTTTGTTCAGTGAGGACTCACTCTAAGAGGGGATAGCTTTAGCTTTCTAGCTAAAATAAGAATAATGCACACTTTTGCCAAATTATAAAGCAAAGACTCAAGGTTTTATTCTTGTACCTAGGACAGTCCCTGCCTCTAGAGAGTTGTCGCACTAGGGGCGGGGAGGGAAGGATGTGACCCTCTTTTGGTTAATTTTAAATTATCATTTCAGCAAATGTGTACTAAGACCCTGTCCTGGCACACTGGGAGGTGCTATAGCTATATCTGTAAATGAAGCCAACCCATCCCTGCCCTCCAGAGCACACAGCCCAGGGAAGAAGTCACAAACAAGGCAGTGTCTCATCAGTGTACACATGTTCTGAGGGGGAAAGTACAGGGGCCACGGGTCCCAGGGCACAGGGATTTCATCTTGACTAGGGAATCAGGGAAGACTACCTGGAGGAAGTAATGATGTCTGTGATGGGACCTGCAGGATGAATATAAGTTAGCTGAGTAAACAGAGAGGGATGACTATCCCCAGGCCAAGGGGAGGAGCTTGGGAGGGTTTGGAGGACAGGAGGTGAGCAAGAGGAAGGAGCGTTAGAGGAACTGAAAGGGCTTCAGAGTTGCAAGGAAGCTGATGGCAAGGGGAGCTACTGGACACAGACCTCGTCCTGGGTATGGTGCTGGGGGTGCTGGATGCTGGACCATGGAGCAGACACTGCTGTTCCCAGGTTTACAGGGGAAGCAAGTGAGGATTAAGGTAACATGGAGCCAGGATTCCAATGCCTCAAGCTGTGGATACTTTATCAGCTGCCCCACATGCTCTACCGCCACCCCCACCCCCACTGACCGCTGCTAACTTTGAGGAGGTGACTTTATTAGGGGACAGCCCAGGAGGTGTTCCTTAGCCCAAGAGGGATCCTAAGCCAGACATTTCACCCCATGTCTCTGGATACTAAGAAGCTAAAATGGTCACAGCAGTGCCCATCCTGACTGAGGACACTGCTTTCCAGATAAAGAGAGGTCTCTCAGGGCCTCCGTCTACCCCTTAGTAAAAGGTTTATTTTGCCTGTGGGAGGAGAGCATTGAGATCGCTGGCTGAAGTAAAAACTAAGGAGTTGGGTTGGGGGTGATAAACCCCTTTACCTATGGGAGGGCTTTGCCGTGGCTCACTTGGGCCGGAGGATAGGTAGGCGTGGTCGTAGGCAGCGGAGGGTGTGGGGGCCACTCATCCCTTCAGAAGCCACCACTCACGCTGGATTACTGACCAGGGTTTTGGCGCGTAACTCATTCCATCCTCCAAGGTACTGTTGTGCTTTCAGTCTCCAGGTCACCCGCAGGGTAGGTGACCAGAGCCAGAGAAGCGGTTTATTCCCGGGGCTCCGCACTGCACCCACGCGCCCGCGCCTGTGTTTGACTGCACGAGGATTCTCCGGAGGTGTCCCTTCCTGCCAGCCAGGCCTCACCCCTGGGTACGCATAGGTCAGAGGCCCACGATGAGAGTGAGAGAGAACGTGCCGCTCTCTCCAAAGCAGCCACTTTTCTGCAACAGTGGGAGTTGCTGAGGGAGGAGGAAGAGGATAGTGAAACTTTTTTTTAAAAGGCCGACTCCTCAGAGGCTGGCCTTTGCCCCATCTTTCAAGTCCCCGAAGTCTCCAGGCTGTTTCCCTGATGTTTGCAGGGCCCTCCCGAGCACACACTCAGCAGCACGCTCGACTTCTCCCACACAAAGGCCCTGGCCTCCCACAGGCCTCCCTCCATTGTGTCTGCCTGGGGGAGGGCCCTTCTCCTTCAGGATACTGTAGCTTCTCTGCGTGACAAGCCAGCATTCACGGCTTTCAGGTGCCAGCCTGGAGAGGGACACCCACCACGGGCTTGGTGTGCTGGGGTCACAATGGCCTTATTATGGCGGTCGCTCCGGTGGGGCCTGGCCAGGGAGCCTGGGAGATCAAAAGCCTGGGAACCAAGTCCCCAACAAAGGACCCGAGGACGGCCTTATCCAGGCTTTGCATCTCTCTGGGGGTTTGAAAGGAGCTGCTCTTGCTGGCTCCGGTGCAGGGGATGAATGCCAGTGAATGCCAGTGTTCAGCAGGGCTCCTGGTGAGTGAGGAGGGAATAAAGCCTCCCCTTGGCCTCACCCCGTGTGAAAGGGAAGAGGAGGAGGCAGAGGTGGCCTGGAGATGCCAGCTGAAATGGCAGGACCCGGCCCTCTTCCCGCTAAAAGGGCACCACTGCAAGGGAAGGGCTGGTTTGGAGCCCCAGGGGGTACCCACAGGGTAATCAGTCCCTTAGTGGGAGATTCCCTTCCCTGGGTGACAGGGCCCTGCCTTCCCGGGAGCAGAGAAGAAAAAGATTGGGGAGGAGAACAAGAAGCAAGAGTGTCGGTCGCTGTCTGCCAGCCCCGGGCCTGGCGTTCAGTTTTAAGGCCTCCCAAGGGGCCCAGCAGGCCTGACCTCCCAGTGGGGACACAGCTGACGCACTTGTCTGAGGCTTGGCTCTGGAGTCTGGCGGGAACTTAGCAAGGAAACGCTGTCTGCCCGGGGGACTCAACACAGCCTTGCGGTCCCTGTGGTCCTGGCTCTGCCCACACCCAATCTTGGGAATGAAAACATTCCACCCAGAAAGTAGAAGGAAGAGCTGTAGCCTCTCCTGTGAGTCATCAGCAGGGGGAGAGAGGCTGAGGCAGCTGTGGAGAGAGCAGGGCCTTGGAAACCACGAGAGCTGGGGCTCAGCTGTGTGGCCTGGAGCAACTTCTGAGCCACAGAGGGCTGAGCACAGAGGCCCTGTCCTTCCATTCAGGATCAGCAGGAGGAAGAAGCTGCCCTGTCTCAGGTAAGGGCCAGGTAGAGCTGCCTGCTATGTTATGGACGCCCAGCTAAAGGTGGCCTGGCGTCCGTGGAATCACTCCCCGGGGAGGTTGTGTGTACCTCCCCAATCCCTCCCCTGGATCCCAAACCACATCCTTGGCCTTGCCTTGCTGTATTGCCATGTCCTATTTCTCAGCCTCTCCCTTACACTGAGCTTGCTCGTTGAGAGCAGGGATTTTGTATCCCAGGACCTGGCACAGACCTCTCCTGTGAGTGAGTGGTTCAGTCTGTAAGTCAAGCCTAGAGAAGCACAGCCCATCTGAAATAGGCTTTGTGACTTCTCTTCCTTCTCCTCTGAATTTCCAGGGTGCTGTCGTCTCTATCTCTGACCTGACATTTGCCACACTGACCTGTTCTAACAGTTATTTGTGTATGTGGGTCACAAGCTGGGCCTGTGCTGTCAGCTCTGGGTTTGAGTCCTGGTTTCATCACTAACTATGACTGTTGTTATTCCACATCTCAACTTCAGGTTCTTCTGCGAAGTGGTTAGAAGCCATCAGTGGAGCACCTCCTTTTTGGTACAGTACCTAGCATATCATGGATGCTTAGTAAATAGTTCCTCCTAAGAACTCGTGCCCCTGACATGTGAACATACATGCATGGAGGTACACAAGTGTGCTGGGCTCAAGCCCCTGTTGGGGGCCCCACATCAGATTTATGTTTCTTTTCTTCTCTGCAGCTAGTGCAGCATTTTGCATGTACAGGTAGTAGTGTTTGTTGAAGGTGGGGACAGGTGGTGTTGTGGTCTCCTCCTCCAGGGCAGCCCCCCTCTGGCTCCAGCTCTTGGCCTGTGAGCAGCCAGAGTGGCTTCTCTTGTCCATTTGCTGCCTGGGCCCTCCAAGGATCACTGGAGACACCTTTCCCTGGCTCATCCCAGTGGGCTGGGACCTGCGGAAATCATCTGACGAATTCTCATTTCCTACAAAGATGCTGCATGTGTCTGCCAAGCAAGTTGATTTCCTGTTCTCTCGATTTACCCTCTGTCTTCTCTGGTCCCAGCCTTTCTTCCAAGTTTCAGCCATGTTATAAAATCTAACATTAATACTGTATCTTTCCAGATACCCCTTCCCCAAAGAGAGGAGTCTCCCATACTCTTATAAAACATTATCGAGGCCGGGCACAGTGGCTCATGCCTGTAATCCCAGCACTTTGGGAGGCCAAGGCAGGCAGATCATGAGGTCAGGAATTCGAGACCATCCTGGCTAACACGGTGAAACCCTGTCTCTGCTAAAAATACAAAAAATTAGCTGGGTGTGGTGGTGGGCACCTGTAGTCCCAGCTACTCTGGAGGCTGAGGCAGGAGAATGGCGTGAACCCAGTAGGCAGCGCTTGTAGTGAGCCAAGTTCGCGCCACTGCACTCCAGCCTGGGCAACAGAGTGAGACTCCGTCTCAAAAAAAAAAAAAACAAAACAAAAAACAAAACAAAACATCGAAATCTCTAGCAACATTAGAAATAATGTCACTACTGTCTACCTCTTTGACCCTCCCCTTTGCACAAACCCCTCCTGGCAGGTAGGTACCCAGTCTCAGAGGCCCAGACATCTGCATGAAGCAAATGCTCCCTAAACAGGTCTCGTCCTGTCTCCTGCTAGACTGGTTGTAGGGTTCAGGTCCCCACATGGGTTTCCCAACAGCAATCTGAAGTGTGTACTTCTATCAGCAGTGAGAGAGAAATGAATTGTTCTCAAGGGCATTTTTTTTAAGGACAGTTTTTCAATGGGATCCTTGCTGCTCTGAACTCTTCTGGTGCTTCTGTTTTATAGTTATTGATTTTGGAGATCATAAAAGTAATACAGGTATTATAAGAATGTGGGAACATTATAGAAATGTGTAACTTGGAGAGTACGAGCATCCATGCTTCAGAAAGAACCGCTGCCAATGCCTGGTGTATTCTTGGTTGCTCCTTGGCGTTTTGTCTCTTATCTCCAAAGAGGGGCGCCAGTGTCAGCTTCTTGTGTAGCATCTGCTGGGGGGCAGTGTTTGCTATTACTTGACTTCAGTGGGTGGGCTGCTTCAAGGAACATGTCTTCTGAGGGCAGCAGCAGTCACCTGAGACACAGCAGCGTGTAGTGGGGAAAGTCTGGGCACTGCCATCTAGAACCCAAGAGAAACGGGGCTGAGCCTCAGTCTTCCTCATCTGTGCAGTGGGCATACTAAGAACAACTCTGTTTTGGAGGGAGATTGGGACTAAACAGCGAGATCATGGGTGGGAACACACTCTACACTCTAAATTCTATGTAATATCCTTTGATTTTGAAAAATTGTTATTGTCACCACCAAATAGGCCCCTTGGGCTTCTGAGCCAGTAGACTCAAGATTTAGTCCAAAGGTTTAGAATTTCATTCTCTTCATTATTTATACACACACACAACAGTCCGATGACGGGAGCTGCTGTGAGCTTTGCAGATGGATGTAGGCAGGTCTTGCTGTGATCTCCTTCCAGGAGCATTGGCTCTAGAAGTGGCTGACACACGTGTCTAGGGCCCTCCAGATCCACTGGAAGAGCAGAGAGTAAACTAAAGCAGCATGAGCCACGTGTCCCCATGGGCCAGTCTGTGAACAGCATGGTTTGCTTTCCTCTTGGAAAGTGGGGTGTTCCCCCTCCTGTCCAAGTGTGGTGGAAATACTGATACCATTGGGCCCCACTCCCTTTCTCCCCACAGCATTGTCCTGCCTGGCTGGCAGAGGGAACACCTTTCTCTTGGGTCTTCAGGGTGTCAGAGATATGGGCACTGTGGAAGGCAGAGACAGGTGAAATGGTGTATGTGACTGGGAAGCTGGGAAGAGGTGTGCTCTGGCAGAAAAGGAGGCTGAAAAGAAGAGGAGGCCCAGAACAGAATCCACCCATCCCCCAGCCCTTTGAAGCTGTGTTTCTCCCATGGCCGTGCCTTCAAATTTACTCTCTCCCAGGCCAGACCGGTTGCAGTGGCTGGACCATCCCACGCCTCTGCCTCTCTCAGGTCCAGAGCCGCTCAGCTCGTGACATGATACCAGGCCTAGGTGGCAGAGGAGGCAGCACTGCCTCAAGAGGAGCATGAGTTGGGGGACTTCTCTGGGACCAAGGGACCCAGCCTTGTCATGGTGCTTACTCTATTCCAAACTCTGTGCATGTTTCTGCCCTAGCGCAGCCCATGTGAAGGTGGGAGAGCAGAGGCCCTGGGAGCTGGGGTGCTGCTGTCAGATTTGCTTCCTCTCTTGGGACTCTACTCCCGAGGCTTCAGTTATCTGAGTTTTTTGGTTCTTCTCCTGCCTCTCTGACCCACCCTAGGGTTTCCTTCCTTCTGGAAAGGCAATGGGGCTTACCCGGTTTTTGGAGGCTGCCATCTGTGCTCCAGTCCCAGCTTTGCCTCTTCTTTGCAATGTTGAACAAGTTATTTAACCTCTCTGTGCTTTAGTTTCCCCATCTGTAAGGTGGCAGTGGTGATAGCAGTACCCAGCTCATTGGGTTGAGAGGATTTAATTATTCACAGATACAAGATGCTCAGATCAGCACCGAACATTCTTAAGTGCTATCCTGTGTGTTAGCTGTTAATACTTTAGCCCCTCTGAAAGTGGTGCTGTTAGCCCCTCTCATTTTATCCACCCAGCATAGGTGTACACACGGGAATAATGTAGTCCTTTACCCCATCTTCATTTTCAGAGAGGTCACATTTACTCGGAGGGCCCCAGCCATTACTAAGTTCCAGAGGACTTTGATTTTTCATATCCTAAAATGTTTTCTTCTTGTCGTAAAATGCCCACATAGGGAATGAAAATTTTAAAGACGTATCAATAAAAAGATAATGAAATTTTAAAAATCACCGGGTAATACCTTTGCCCAGAGATGATAACTAGATATTTTGATGTAGCATTTCCCAGTTTTTATACACAGGTGTGGTGGGTGAGTACAACACCCAGTATAACCCCAGTTTTGCTTAAAAAGGGACAAAATGCATATAATACTGTTGTTTATATTCTGCTTTTGTCACCAAATATTATCAACATTTCTCACTGTCCTTAAATATTATTTGAAAATGACCAAATTTCTGTCTTTAGATAGAAACTTCTTTTCCCAGCTCAAAACTGCATGTCTGTCAGCCGGTGGAGGTTGCCCCTTCAGCATCTCAGACGCGATGTGGCCAGGACCCGGCGCTGGGTCTCACAAGCTGCCTCCTCTGCATCCTCCCCATCCTTCGCCCCTCCCCCAAGTCTGCCGTTCCTTTGTTCTGTCCCACAGCTCCTCCTCCCTGCCCCGCTCCCATGATCTCTTAGTTGTGGGGTTCTGTAGTATCTCTGTAGTATCTCTGTGGTGTCTCTAGCGGTCATCCTCACCTTACTGTCATCACCACAACTCCACTTCCTTTCCTGATCACCTCTCACTTTGACACTGATGTTAGCATTACCTTTTTTCACATGCGATCCCTATTTATTATGGAATATAATACCTGAGCCTTCTCCCTGGCTTTCCTCGCTGCTGGCCTCGCTGGCTCCAGCCCATTCTGCCACACTTCTGCCCAAGGAAGCTTCCTGAGCACAGTCCATCTTGCCCTATGACCTTCGATGTTAACTGCGTCCCCGCAGCTGTGCTGTGACCTGGTACCACAGGTGCTTCCATCTGCCTGCCGGGGCACCTCTCCTGGAGTCTGTTCCAGCCAGGCTGTGACCTGATGGTGCACCTGTCTCAGCAGCTTTCTCAGGCTGCTGCCATTGCTCAGAACTCTGTCACCCCTTTACCGCTTCTGGGAGTTCTGCCATCCTAAAGGTCCATCTCCAGTGTACATCCTCCAGGCAAGTTTCCTATCTCCAGATGGGCATGCTTTTTCTGGCCCTTGAAGCCCCTCCACTTGGCTCATCCTTCCCTTAAGGTATTTCACCTACCCTAGTTATCTGTGGGCCTTGGATGGGCAGCTAGAAGAGCAAGGGTCTGGAGAGAGACAGACCTTGTTTGAGTCCCAGCTTAAACTACCTTCTATCTATATGACCTTGGGTAAGCTATTCCCTCTCTGAGACTCAGTTTTCTCATCTGGAAAGTGGAAACTGATACAATACCATGACTTAGGTTCAGTTTTGGGGGGGATTCAAAAGATAAAATGTCTAGGTTTAGCACAGTTTTTGGAACATGATGAGAATTCAAAAGCAGCAGTTTAGGCCGGACGTGGTGGCTCACACCTTTAATCCCAGCACTTTGGGAGGCTGAGGCGGGTGGATCACCTGAGGTCAGGAGTTCAGGACCACCCTGGCCAACATGGTGAAACCCCGTCTCTAGTAAAAATACAAAAATTAGCTGGGCATGGTGGTGGGCGCCTGTAGTCCCAGCAACTCAGGAGGCTGAGGTGGGAGAATCACTTGAACCTGGGAAGCGGAGGTTGCAGTGAGCTGAGATCACACCACTGCACTCCAGCCTGGGTAACAAGAGCAAAACTGTCTCAAAAAAAAAACAAAAAGCAGCAGTTTTATAATTAGTATCCAGCCTTCCTGTGTCTGCCTCCTTGGGGTGATCCATGGAACCTAGCCTGTTCTTTGATGATGCTAAAGGCTGTTTGAGTCCAGGAGAATTGACTTGAACAGAACATAGGTCTGAGACCCTTCACCTGGCAGGAGATGAGGGCCATTGATAGTCGTGGTTCTGTATGATTTGCAAGATAGTCCTGCTACCTTGGGTTTGACAACTGAGGTAACTCCCCAGTTATCTCTTCCTCTGGATTTCAGCTTAGGAAGACTCTTTTATATCACCTGTTGGCATGGGAGAGGCCACTCCTGCAGGAAGCCAGGGTGCTTCTTTTGGAATGCTCAGGTCCTCAGAGGACATTGATTGAAAGGGAATTTTAGGGCAAACCCAATGAAGCTCAGGCAGCAGCTGAAAAACACACCAGATTCCCTTGACTCTTATCTGTCAAGGAAAGTCTGTTGGTGACCACCTAATATGTGGGGTAGGGTTGGTTACAGGCAGGATCTGGCATAAACAGGTAAAGTTGCAAGAGAAACATTTAGGTATCACCAGATTCCTCCCTTGCATTGTGGCAGGGCTGCACCTAAGAGCTGCTCCTAAAGGTTGAGCACCTTGTTCTTTTCCCCCAGTTGGATTAGGAGCTTTTAAGCACCAATACCCCCTCCCCAATAACAGTCTTTGCTGATTTTTCTCTTGCAGCCAGGCGGCACTCCAGGGTCCGGCCCAAGGTGACTGTCCTGAACTATGCCTCCCCGATAACCGCAGTCAGCCGGCCACTGAATGAGATGGTCTTGACCCCACTGACAGAGCAGGAGGGGGAAGCCTACCTGGAGAAGTGTGGCAGCGTGCGGCGGCACACGGTGGCCAATGCCCACTCGGACATCCAGCTGCTGGCCATGGCCACCATGATGCACTCGGGCCTGGGGGAGGAGGCCAGCAGTGAGAACAAGTGCCTGCTCCTGCCACCCAGCTTCCCCCCGCCCCACCGGCAGTGCTCCAGTGAGCCCAACATCACTGACAACCCTGACGGACTGGAGGAGGGGGCCAGGGGCAGCCAGGAGGGCTCGGAGCTGAACTGTGCTTCCCTCAGCTGAGTCGCCACCCCTGGGCCTTTCCATCTCCTGTTTTGCAACCAGGATGAGGACCCCTCCATCTCCGTGGATTACTGAGGGGGGCTCTTGCTTTATGCGATGCTGCCTTATTTCCTTTAGGGTACTGTCCTGGTCAAAATGACCTAAGGGGAAACCGTTGTTGTAAACCTCTTTATTTTGGTGACTGTGACCACTTCTTTGTAGCCACCAATTGTAGTGACCAGTTGCCTAATGGTCACTTTCTGACTCCAGCCTTGCCAGCCTGACTCAGATCCTCATCTCTGGGCCTTTCTCCCTCCGATGTTGGACTGCCTGATGCTCCCAATGACATATCCAATGCTCCTGGCATTTCTGGAGCAGGAGGTTGTCAGGACAACACATATAACCACCAAGGATGTGTTGGCCTTTGGAGTTCCCCTTTAGGTTCCTAGTGATGTGGAGGTTTATGGGTGAAAAATTAGTGGAGAGGGAACTCCTCTCCCCCATTTTGTGTAGAGTGAAAATAGCCTGAAGCCCCTACTCAGCAGGGCTCTGGGAATGTGCCTTCCTTATTTTAGTTTCAGAATTGCTGGGAAAGTTACCCCACTGGTGGGTGAGGATCTATCCTCAACCTACATCCAGATCCTATGTGCTGCTTGCACAGAGGCCTTTGGCTTTTGACCCAGGAGGGCCGCGAGGCTGGAGCTGCCCTGTCTTTCATTGAGCCTTAGCATTTCCCTCTCAGGCTTCCTCTCAAGCTCAAGGAACTCACCCCCAGATAAGAAGCTGGTGCCTCTTGTCTCTCTCATTTCAGAAACGGACTTTCTCATCATGCTTTCCTATGGTGGGTATGAGGGGCCAGCTGATACCAACCAACTGGCCTGTATCTATCTATCTGGATTTGACTTGAATTTTTAAAATGTGTATCGTTTAAAAAAAAAAATGTTTGCAAATTTTGCACATAGGATCTTGCACTGTTCATTTTCAGTGGGGTGAGTCTTCACACTAAAAACACAAGCAGAGCTCCTGGGAAAAGAGACTGGAAGTGGTTCAGGATAAAGAGATCCATGGTGGGCAGGGCTGTTAGGTCACAGAGCTCTAGAAGCAGCTGGACTTGAACCCACAATGGCTTGTGTAAATTCGTAAATTTCATGGTTTCTAGGAAAAGCTGCATTGGGGTGGGGAGACCCAGTTTGCCTCATAGGCAGAGGATTCTCCAGGAAGCATGGAAAATGGAATGTTTCCATGCTTTACAGTGCTGGGAGAGAGGGGAGATGTGGGCAGGACCTTTTGGAAGGATGTTTATTCTCTGTGGTTAAAGAAATGCTGAGAATTTCTAGCATGTGAAGCACTTGGGGGCAGCAGGCCTTGGCACGGTGCTGCATCCTTCTACTGCTCCCTCCAGGTCTGGGGGCTTTTATCCACCTTGAATCCCTATCCTCCTCTTTGTAGTTGTCGGTCTCACTGATAACAGCTCCAGAAAAAAAGACAAGGCTCCCCCTCTGACCCTTCCTGTTGGTATTTATGAAATCTCAAAGAGATGAGCCACCTTGGCTTCCAATATGGCAAGAGGGTGCTGGGAGAAGGTGAAGATCAGTCTAAGCTGCCACGGTGATGAGACCTTCTCATTATGTAACTCTTGATGGCATTTCCCTTCTGAGTGAAGATTTGAAATATGATTGATTAGAATTGTGCTCTTGATGGCTGGGAATTTAGAAATTTTATTTTAAGAGTTATTTCATTTTCATCCTAAGAGTGATGGGAGAGAAATGTCCAAAAGAGATCTGCTGATCTGCTGAGAGTTTCAAACAAACAAAAAAATAATCTCTATGTATGTGTTGGATAAAGTCTACAGACTGACTAACATGCATTAGCAAATGGAGCATCAGTAGGTAGCAACATGATAATTTATGTAACTGATAGCTTCTGTCCTTATTAGTACACTTAACATTTGAGACTAGTATTTATTGATCCAGGCAAAGTAATTAATTAATCATGCTTGGGCTTACTTTTTCAGTTTGTAAGGTTAAGCATATGTGCATGCGTGCGTGTGTATATAAATGCCTTTTCCATATCTTAAATGTCCCTGATGAGGAGAGCAGTCATCAATTAAATATATAAGCTCTTAAAATGAGAATGGAAGTGTCAGTATAGACCCAGTGTACTTAAGTGCTGATGACTGTTAGCCAGTTTACAACTTTTTACCATCGATGTACACATTTGATATTTGTGCAGTAAATAGACTGTACCTATAAAAAATTTTATTGATGTTTATGGTCATGTTAGCTATCAGAGAGCTATTGGAGTGAGAGCTGAGGTGTCCTTAACCACTTTTTCTCTCCTAGATTCATTTTCATTATTTATGCTAGGATTTTCTTATGGTTGACATTTGATGACAGGAAGCAATCATGACTCTTCAAGTGAGCTCACAGAAACCTTTCATGTTGTCTGTTTCCAAAATGGATTCAATAAACAACATTTTGTCCATGTTACCCTATTCTCATGCTGGGTGCCCCAGGGGTGTCTTGATCGAATTTGCAAGTATAGCAGTCAAATCAGATCTTTTTTTTTTTTCCTCAAATTAGATCTTGATGCATCTTTCCCTCAAACTCCCTGCCCCAACTTCTGCCTCCTCTTTTCTTGTTGCCTCTACTCCACAGTCAGACAGCAGCCTTAGCTCAGCCAGTCTTCCCTGGGTTTTGTTTGCAATCCTGGACTGGATTGGCAACTCATTTCCTGGAGAAACATATTGTGGAGCTAGAAAATACTGAAAAAAGTCTGAGAAGCCAATACTTTTTCTAAAACCAGCTTGGCCTTTCTTCCCAGAGTATTTGACCTAGAGGGAACAGTTACCATATGTACTCATGGATGATCTCATATATTCCCCTCTGATTCTGTTTGGCAGAGGAAATTTATGTTTTACTCTGCATAAATACTTCTAGGAGGCTTATAGCAGCAACAGTCTGAGACCGCTAAAGACTTAATAAGAGCCTTTGAAGAGGTGTGACTGATTAGTCATCCTGTAGGGTGTAAAAGGAGAGTGTGTATGTTTTGGTTGAGCCTTTGCAGGTCATAACTATGGTAAATAACCACTGAGCATTCTGCCTCAACAGGTTTCATGTCATTAGTGTGCCCATGACATAGCAGTGCACCATCATATTCATTCATCCACCCATCTACCCATCAAACACTTGTGGAGTTTCCATTGTGTGTAGGCGCTTTTCTTCGTACTAGGGATACAGTGATGGACAAATAACCAAGGTGCCTGCTCTCATGGAGCTTACACTATAGGGGGGAAGGCTGGAAATCAGGTCAACACAAGCATCACAACTACCAAACAACACTGGATGAAATGGCAAAGTGCCAGTGACTGGAGAGTGAAGAAAGGATGACGGTGGGTAGAATGGCCAAAGGAGGTCTCTCTCCAAGTCAACTGACTCAAGAGCTGAGTGACAAGGAGCCAGCCTTACGATCTGCTTTGTTTCCGATCACTGCCATAACTATCACAGACTTAGCAGCTCAAAACAACATATTTATTATTACAGTTCGTTGGCTGGAAGTCTGACGGGTCTCACTGGGCTGAAATCAAGGTGGTGTCAAGGCTGCATTCCTTTCTGGAAGCTTTAAGGGATAATCTGTTTCCTTACCTCTGCCAGCTCTTAGAGGCTGCCCATATTCCTTGGCTTGTGGCTTTCTTCCTCCATCTTCAAAGCCAGCAGTGAATGGTGGGTTGAGTCCCTTTCACATGGCATCACTCCAAACTACATTCGGCCTCCCTAGGACCCTTGTTGATTACATTGAGCCCATCCAGATAATCCAGGATTATCTCCCAACTCAAGGTCTCTAATCACATCTGCAAAGTCCCTTTTGCCTTGTAGGATACATTGCAGGTACTGTGGATTAGGATGTGGACATCCTTGATGGGGGAGGGGGAGTCTTTATTCTGCCCCACAGAATAATGATTACCACATAATCCTTAGGTTTTGCTGCTTCTACTGATTACTCTTTGTGGGTAGCAAGCTCCCAAAAGACCAGCTTAGCTACTGAGGAAACTCCTTGTCCTCCGGCCCAGTGGAATTTGATGGGAAAAGAGAAGGAAAGCAAGATGGACAAAAAGTGTCCCCCCCAGGGCTCTGCCTTCACGCTAAGGAGCAGTGGTAAGTTGGCTGAAGCTCTTCTGAAAGTCCTTAAATGTCCTTGAGTCCCTCAGCTGGCCAGAGATACACTGGTGTCCTCTCTGGCATGCTTCTTCTTGTCTCCATCCCTCCTCAGCTGGACTGAAGATTTCTGTGGGTACTGCTCTGCTGCCGCCTCTGCTGAAATCTCTCTCCCAGCAGGAGAAAGGCCAGCCATGGGATGTACTGTGGAGCCTGGGAAGATGAAACTGCAGCATAGAAGTGCTGGTCTCAGTGTTCAGGGGAGACTGGGTGACATGGCCTGGGGACTTTACGGCCTGACCTCCACCCACCATGGCCTAGACTCCCACAGAGACCATGATTCTGTAGTCCCAGGCTCCAATCTCTAATTGCCTCATTGCCTTCTGTCAGGCCCTCACCATCCCCAGTCTGGACTTACACAACTTGGTACTTCCTGTATTTGTGTACAGACTCCATCTCTCCCTTATGGACATTCCCATTTGATCTAAGATGCAACCCCTGCTTAAAACTTTTCCTTGGCTTTCGATATAATCCACACACCTAAACTTGACTTCAAGGTCCTTCACAAGCTGGCCCCACCTACCTTCCTGGCCTCATTGGCTGCTCTTTGACTCCCTCGAGTTGGAGACCAACAGCTTCACCAGGACTGTTCATTGTCCCAGGAAGCTGCCTTTCATCTCCACATCCCCTGCCATGCTCCCACTGTTCCCTCTCCCTGGGGGCCCTCCTCACTTCTCCAGATAGAAGCAGCCACTTCAACCTCTATACATTCTCAGGGGCTTAATCCAGGAAGTCAAGAATGGGTAGGATTTATATGTGCAGGCTTAGGGCCTCACAATAGAGAAGTTTCTAAGTCCTGTGCATTGAATAAATGAATGGGATGGTGTAATTCTGATCCCCACCCCGCCCCTCCCAGGTATGTGCAGAAAGGACACCGCCTCTCTCCTTTTTCTCCAGGTAGGGATCTTCCCCATGCAGCTCTCTCCAAGCATGTTCCAACTGAGGCTGTGTGGCCAGGTGACCCAGTGAACACAGGTGGGAGTCTGAGCCCTTCTTCCAACTCCTTGCCTTTGCTCCAGCCAATGTCTGCCACTTCCCTGCAGAGAGTTAACCCTGTTCCTGGGGATGTTTTGCTCCAGAGCCAGCTCATTTTCTTGGCCTGCCCTCTTTCTGTCTGTGGTAAGAGATTGCTTTGGGATCTGACAGTCCTGAGGACAGTGAGAGCACCTGTTGTTTGCTCTTTGAAGCAATCAAAGAGCCATCTCTTTGAAGAAGCTCTCCTGCCAGGAAGAGGGAGTGTCCCAGGCCAGTGAACTCAGGCAAGAGCCTCCTTGTCCTAACCCTCTCTGCATTCAGGAATCTAGCATGAGGGCCGAGTACTAGGCTGTTCCTCACAACAACCTTGCAAGGCAGGTGTCACCCTCATTTTGCAGATGAGCAAACTGAGCCTTGGGTCTTTTAAGCAATGGAGCTTGGACTTGACCCCAGGTTCACCACAAGTCCAGTGGTCATCCCTTTCTATTCTAGGAGGTACCCTAGCCTGATAGAAAATGAAGAATAGCTAAGCCAGGGGCAGAATCTGCTCAGCTTGCTACAAGGTAAGAGATGTTCCAGCGTTTCTAGAAAAGCTGAGGAACAAAGCTGCATCTCTTGCTTTTCTGCAGTCATTTCTAGAAAACCTCATGGCGTAGGGACTCTGGTATCCTGGACAGTAAATTTCTTATGTAGAAAAGATTTCGGGGCTTTTAAAAAAAAACTTATGTTAAAATTTGTCTTTAAAGTAATAATTTAATAAGTTTATATTTAATTTAATAAACATAATTTTGTCTTTAGAATCAATATTCCATTTCAGATGCAAAGCTTAAACTTTTTTATGCTTTTAAATTCAGCTTACAAATATTATTCTATTTTATAAGTCTAGCAGATCTTGGCAATAATTTTGGAGGAGTGTTTCAATAATGCTTGCTCTTATTTACAAGCATAGCTTAGCACTTCAAACATTTTAAAACAGATTTAGAAATTTAATGTATTTATTTTTTAAGTACTTTGGTTTTTCTGACCACAAGCAAAATCATCCCAAATTTTAAACTCTTATAGAAGTGAATAAATTTAACTTAAAAGATAAATCTAGGTGCTCTTAAATGTTTTTATACTCTACTTAAACTTAGATGTCACCATTAAAAAAATCACAAGTCTAAATTAATTCTCAATTATACATTTTAAAGTGGAGTTGTAATATTTCTACCCTTAAATCTAAACCTTCCTGAAGTGTTGGTGAGATATTGTCTCTCAGTTTCGAGCCTTTTCCTTTTTTTGTGATGCTGTGGCTGGGATTCTGCAAACCACATTGCTGCTTTGTCAGCTGGGTCCCTGGTAGGTTCTGCCAATGGAGGGCGCTAGAGGGAGCCTGGGGGACTGGTGGAGGGAGAGGAGTTGGGCTCATCCTGTCTTTGTCCACATCACCTAGCATAGACAGCTGGGTCCAGCAGCAGTGTTGAGTTACTGTTTGCAGTTTATCCACATTCCCAGAACCAGCCTCAACATCTCCCCTTAGAGATACAAGCACTGTCCAGCCTGGGACCCCTCCTCAGAATTCTGAAGCCCTCTGGGGCCCCTCCTCTAACTTTTTAAATTTCAATAACCCCTAACACTGCTTTTTGTTTCCCCAGTTCTAAGGGTGGTAGTTGCTTCCTGTAGTTACCACCTCTGTGATTCCTCTGGGTCCCCTCTTTGCCATTTTATTTGTCCAATTTTTGATTAATAATTCTTTATATTAAATTCTGTCTGTTAAAATACTTGATGTGGCCTTTGTCCTCTGACTAGCCCCTGACTGATGAACCAGGGTTGAAAAAATATCCACTAAAGAAGATAATAACCATTCCAGGTAACCAAGGCAAATCACTACCAGAAATTTCCTTTGGGTGTGAGACCCAGAGCTGCAGACATTGAGTGGCTTCTTTTCCCCCCACCTAAGAAAACTATATCCCTTCCAGTAATTTTGGTGGTTGCTTCTCAGCATTCTTGAGTTTATAGGTGGAGCATACTTGATCCTTGTGTGAGTCCCCAAGAGACACTGGGTCCTATTTGTGGTTGCTTAGTCAATGACTTCATAGCTTAAAAGAAGTGACCTCGGAGCCCTTGTTCCTGTATCGTACAATTGCCTAGTTCTTCAGTTACCTTCAGCAGTATGCATTTCTCACTAAGTCACTCATTAGATTGGCTTTTCATTTCCTTGGTGATTCTAGCCTAGGTCTAATGACTTTTGAGAGACATCCTAAGCCATGTAAATACCTTGAACCAAATAGACTTCTGAATTCTTTTATATTCTCAGGACTGCATAACTCTTAACTCTTAACAAGTGCTTAAATTTCAGTCTGATATCAGTCAAATATCTCAGATAGCTTTGTTTGTGGTCCAACTTATGAGGTCATTTCATTCTCTGTAGGCTGAAGTAAGGATTAAGTCATTTGCCTGCCAACAGAAACTTTTGCTGCCTAGTCTAGAGCCGTTTTGAGAAGGGTTCAATAAGTGGAAATCGCATTAGGCTTCTGGTTCTGGCCATATGGGAATGGCTTGTATCAGATTAATTGTCCTTATAAAATAATTAGGAAAGCAGGGCAAAATATATAAAGGAACTGTTCAAAGGAACTGGAGAACATCCAGTGCAGGCAGGACCTGAGAGACTGTGATCCCCAAGAGAAAGGAAACATGAGGAAAGCTCCACATTCTTCCTGGCTTTTCCCCTGAGAGGATTTCCCCGAGTCCCTGGAGTGGGTGAGGGTACAAGGGAGTAAACAGCAGAAAGCAGCAGTCTAACTAGGCTAAGAGGAGAGTTTAAAGCTTGCAGAGCTGCTGGAGTTTGAAGGTAAAATGATAGGAAGGGCTGAATGAGAAGTATGCACACAAGTTCCCCTCAAGTTGTTGGCTGACTCCTAAGATGTGCAGGTACAGTGAGAACTAGAGGAAATCAGCAGAAAGGAAAACAACTGGGATGCTAAATATGTGAACCAAGTTCAGCTGCCACATGATGCTGAGGAGCTAGAGGTTCAAGTCCCACTGAGGTGGAAGGGCTTTGGCAAACATCCTGGGCTTTGGTTGAGACCCCCAAAGGGCCACAGTCTAGGAGTAAGGGTCATGCCCCAAAGCAAGCTAGCAGACTTAAACACAACTATATCAGTAATTATGTATGGAGTAAACACTCTGATGAAAAGACAAAGTTAGTAAAACAAGATAAAAAATAATATGTTGTTTATAAGAAACACACGTTGAATATAAGGACACAGATTGAAAATAAAAGAATGGAAAATGATATACCATGTAAACACTAGCAAAAGAAACTGTTACCAATTTAGAATCATGGAAATTTCATAATGATAAAAGGTCAATTCAAAGAGAAGATATGAATTGCAATACAGGTTGAGTATCCCTTACCCAAAATGCTTGGAACCAGAAGTGCTTCAGATTTCAGGGTTTTTTCAGATTTTAGAATGTTTGCATTATACCTACCTACCAATTGAGCATCGCAAATCAGAAAATCCAAAATCCAAAATGCTTCAGTGAGAACTTCCTTTGAGCATTATGTTGATGCTCAAAAAGTTTTGGATTTGGGGGCATTTCAGATTTTCAATTTTTGGATTTGGGATGCTTAACCTGTACATAAATTATCATTTACTGGTCATCGACTATATGCCAAGCACCATCCTAAGTATTTCATATTCTTTTGTTTTGTGTAGTCCTCTGAGCAATTTTATGAAGTAAATATTATCATCCCCATTTTACTAGATGAGGAAATTAAAGCTCAGAGAGGTTGAGCAACTTGAACAACTTGCCTAAGGTCACACAACCAGAGAATGGTAGAGAGAGCATTCAAACCTAGTTTTGTCTGATCTCTTGCCAGAGAGCTTTTAATCGCTGCTCTGCTCTAAGCACCATACTGCCTGTGGTATGCTTGCCTGAACTAGTTGGAGAGGTCCTGTGCACACAGGAGTATTATTTAACCCAAGGGCAGGACATTCTGCAGGGACTCTTGGAACTCTGGACTGAAAAAGATACTCTGAAAAAGGTAGTCTGCCTGTCTCTCTCTCTCTCTCTCTCTCTCTCTTTCACACACACACACACACACACACACACACACACACACACACTTCTTTGTAAATACTCTGCCCTTGGGTACACATGATCCCCAAAAGGCTATCCCAATCTGAGTCTAAGGAACCTTCCAATTCATGGATCACAGCCTAACTTCTTTGAATTTCTTGTGCCAAATTCTCAAGAATCTGATTGGTCTGATTCAAGAATCATGAATCCATCCCTGATCCAATCAGCTGCTTCTAAGGAGCACCATCTCACATGGTTTTAGACTTCACCTCTGTTAAGTCTTTCCTTTGGAGTTGAAGGGGAAGGGTTCAGCAGTACTTGGGGATAAAGAGAGACTTGTCTGACCCGGGCTGAATCCATGCATGCATATGTGGGTGGCCAGAGCAGAAAAATTCAGATAATCTTTCCCAAGCAACCTCTAACCATGGTCTTTCCCCCAAATGTAAATATGGCTGAAAGAGGGGACAGGCAGCAGGCTTATGTAGAAGGGGCTTGGGAGCCCTGAGAGTGAGAAACAAATGGGCCCATCTTCAGGGTGGGAGGCGGAACATGGAGGAAACCATGAAATAAAGCACTTCCTAAAGTGGGTAGTCTGGGGATGGAGCCTTATATCTACCCTTGAGCTACCAGAGGGGCACTTTCTCTCAGAATATTGCCATCAACTGCCGCTCCTCTTACTATCTGGGCAGGTGCAACTGGAAAAGCCTCCAGAGAAAATGGGCTAAGGTTGTGGCATCTGCTGTGGTGATGGACAACTAGAATTATGTAGGGGGAGTCCAAAAAACCTATGTGTTTTCCAAGCTTCTGAGATCTCCAAGGATATTTCTGTGGCAAATAATTGTAATAATAACATTTAATACTTATTTAGGGTTTACTGTAGCCAGTTGCTAGCATAATCCTTGCTTTCTCTATATTATCTCCTTTAACCCTCGTATCAACCCAGTGAGGTAGATGCTATTATTATTAATATTTTACACATGAAGAAACTGAGGCACAGAGATGGTAAGTTAACTTGTCCAAGGCCATGGAGTAATTAATAAGTGGCAGCCCCAGAATGTGGACCAAGACATAGTTCAGCTCCAGAGACTTTGCTTTTAACTCCAATGTAAACTCCTCCACTCTTTGGAAAATGTAGTTATCCACTGCCAAGCAGAATTACAGTCACTGAGAAAGGCAAGAGCTTGCTGGGCAGCCCCTCAGAGCCCCTAGTTTCCCACAGGGAAGTTGCTCCACTCAAGAGAAATCCCTTCTGTGGGTTCCCCCAACACAATGTGTGAGAGCCATGAGGCTCAGCCCCGAAACCTGCCACCAGAAAGCCAGTGGGCACAAGGTAGGGAACCAACTCACAGAGAAATCAGGGGTCACTATTTAGGGTTTAAACCCCACCTTCTTTTTTCTCTGTTGCTCTGCTGCCACTGCCATCAGTCAGATCCTTTCTCATGCCCAGCTAAACCAGCTGTGTGGCCTTTGGCAAATCTTTTTCTCTTCTGCAAGCTATAGTTAATCATGTCTGCCTACCTTGCAGGATTAGAAGGTATATACACACACACACGTATTCATACACATATACATACACATGGCAGAGAAAAGGTTTAGGCTGTCTCTGAGTAGGTAAGATCATGAGTGTTGAGTGTTATATTGCTCTTTTTAGTTGTCTATATGTTCCTAATTTCTGTAATTGGCATGTGATGTCTTTACTATGAATAGAGTTAAAAAACAAACTTCAAAATTCCAACACAATTCATGATAAAAAACAAAACAATTTAACAAACTTGGAATAGAGGGAATTTCCTCAACCTGATGAAGGACATCTGCAAAAACCTACAGCAAACATCATATGTGATGGTGAGGGACTGAATGCTTTCTCCCAAAGATGAGGAGCAAGGAAACGATGCCTGTTTTTGCCTCTTCCATTCAACATAGTCCTGCAGATTTTAGCCAGGGCAGTCAGGCAAAAAGGAAAAACAAAGGCATCTAGTTTGAAAAGGAAAAAGCAAAGCTGTCTTTATTTCAGATGACATGATCCTTTATGTGGAAAATCTTGAGGCATACACACACCTACAAGCCCCTCTTAGAAGGAAAAGACAACTATAATAAAACAAGGTCAAAGGATATAAGATTGATGTATTTCTATATGTGAACAATAAATAGTCCAAAAATGAAATTAAGAATAACCTTCCACTTACAATAGCATCAAAAGGAATAAAATATTCCAGAATAAATTCGATGAAAGAAGTGTAAATCTTTGTTGAGGGAAATTAAGGAAGATGTAAATAGTGGGAGAGACATTTCATGTTCATGAATTGGAAGACTCAGTGTTGCAAAGATGGCAATTGTACCCAAGCTGATCTACAAATTCAATGCAATTCTGATCACAATTTCAGCAGGCTTTTTGGGTAGAAATTGAGAAGCAGATCCTAAAATTTAGGTTGAAATACAAAATATTTACAATAGCTAAAACAATTTTGAAAGGGAAGAGCAAACTTGGTGGACTTTCACTTCTAAATTTCAAAACTTATTATAGCTACAGTAATAAAGACAAAATGCTACTACCACAAAGATAGACAGATCAATGGAACAGAACTGAGAGCCCAGAAATAAATCCTTACATTTATAGTCAATTTTTTTTTTTACAAAGATGCAAGGCAATTGATTGGAGAACTGTTCTATGTTGTTCAACAACTAGTGGTGGGACAATTAGATACTCACCTCAAGCCATACAGAAAAATCAATAATAGATTGCAGGCTTAATGTAAGAGCTAAAACAATAAAAATTTTAGAAGAAAACAGAGAAGACAACTGTTGAGATACTGAGTTAGTCAAATATTTCTTAGATATGCTATCAAAAGCATGGTCCATAAAAGAAAACCATTAATTAGACTTCATCAAAATTCAGCTTTTGCAGTTTTAAAAACACCACTGAAAACCGGAAAAGATAAGCAACAGGTTGGGAGAAAGTATTTGTAAAACACGTATCTGTTCAAGGATTGCACTCAGAATTAACAAAGATCTCTTAGAAATCATTAAAAAGATGACAAACATCCCAATCAAAAACAGGCAAAAGAACCGAACATTTTATCAAATAAAATATACAAATGGCTAAAAAGCACATGAAATGATGCTCAACATCATTAGTCATCAGCAAAATGCAAATCCAAGTGTGAGATACCATTTCACATTTACTAGAATGGACATGATAGGACAGACAATAACAAATGTTGGCAAGGATATGGAGAAATGAGAACCCTTGTATATTGTTGGTTGGAATGTAAAATAGTGGAGCCACTTGGAAAAACAGTTTGGCAGTTTCTCAAAACCTAAACCTAAAACTGCCATGAGTTGGCAATTCCATTCCTAGGTATCTATCTAAGAGAAACAAAAACATGTCTACACAAAAACTTGCATGACAGTATTCATAGTAGCATTATGTATGATAGCCAAAACTGTAAACAATCTAAATGCCCATCAGTTGAGACATGCATGGATAGACAAAACAAAGCATATCTATACAGTGGAATTCTAATCAGCAATCAAAAGGAAACAAACTGCTGACACATGCTACATCATGAACAGACCTCAAAAACGTGCTAAATGAAAGAAGTGATACACAAGAGACCACCTATTCCATGATTCCATTTATATGAAATGCCCAGGGGAGCTGAATAGAATTTATAGAGACAGAAGTAGATTACTAATTGTTTGGGGCTGTGGATGGCAATGGGGATTAAATGTAAATGGGCATGAGGGATCTTACTGCAGGGATGAAAATGTTCTAAAACTAATTGATGTTGATGGTTGCACCATTTGGTAAAGTTACTAAAAATTATTGTACACCTGATATTGCTTATTTTTTAAATTGCAGTAGAATATGCATAGCATAACTTTGCCATTTTAACAGTTTTGGGTGTACAGTTCAGTAGCATGAAGTACATTTACATTACTACATGATCCACCTCCAGAACTTTCTCCATCTTTCCAAACAGAATCTCTACCCATTACACAGTAACTCTACATCCCCTCCTTCCCCCAGCTCCTGCCAACCACTATTCTGCTTTCTCTGAATGACTGCCCTAGGTACTTCATTTAAGTGAAATCACGCACTATATGTTCTTTTGTGCCTGGCTTATTTCACTTAGCGTAATGTCTTCAAGATTCATCCAAGTTGTAGCATGTATCAGAATTTCATTCTGTATGTGTGTTTTATTGTGGTAAAATATTCACATAAGCTAAAATTTAACATTTTAACCGTATTTTAGTGTAGTTTTGTGGCATTAAGTACATTCATGTTGTTGTACAACCATCACCACCACCCATCTCCATAATGTTTTCATCTTCCCCAACAGAAATTCTGTACCTATTAAACACTAACTCCCTGATCCCCTCTTCCCCTAGCCCTTGGCAGCCACCATTCTATTTTCTGTCTCTTATGAATTTTGCTACTCTTAGTGCCTCATATAAATGGAATCATGCAAAATATGTCCTTTCGTATCTGGCTTATTTCACTTGGCTTAATATCTTCAAGGTTCATCCATGTTGTACCATTTGTCAAAATTTCCTTCCTTTTTAAGGCTGAAATATTTCATTGCATATATATAACACATTTTGTTTACCCATTCATCCACTGATGGACATTTGAGTTGTTTCCATGTTTTAGCTATTGTGAATAATGCTGCTATGAATATTGGTGTACAAATATCTTGATATTGGTGAATTCTACAATATGTAAAATATACCTCAATATAGTTATTTTAAAATAAAACATCAATTCTAAAAAATTAAATTGCCAATAATAAGTGGTAGATGTTGATATTATCAATAACTTTAAGAATGGTAAATTTGATCAATGAAGTAGGTTTTAAAAAATCAAGTTAATTTATTAACTTAAGCTAATTAAATTAAGTTAGCTAAAAAATTAAGTTAGTTTTTGGGTTAAAAAATACAGGAAAGTAAAGAAAAATACAGAGAAGTACAAAGAAGTAATCCTACTTAGAGATAACCATCAAGATTACTTTACAAAAAATTACTGTATTTTAATTTTACTGGAAATTAGAAGGAATTAAAATGAAATGAAGTTGGTGAACTTTAGATGTTTATTTACAACAGAGATACTCATTCCTAATCTCTCTCTCTAAAGGCAAAAGAAGTTATGAGAAAACATTGAGGTTGGCTTGGAACACATGGTTTTTCTATTTAGATTCATGTTTCTTGATGGTCACAGTTTAATCCCCCAGGTTGGTAACTGTTTCATAAAAATCAGAGGACATTTCTGATGTTTAAACAAACACAGCACCCAAATTTTTAGATTAAAAACAAAAGAACAAAGTTCAAAAATTTAGTGAACTTTTAGGAGAAACTTCTAAGAGAAATCATTAGGGAATGGCTAGCTTATAAACAAAACACTACGAAGAGGACAAATCACTTGTTAAAAAAGGAGGAGGAAATGATTGTAGTTAAGTGTCTAAAATAAATCCAAGAGGTTATCTATCAACTCTCTATATTAGTCAGTTTTCTTCTCCCTCTGAATTGGTTCTTGCTTTTGAATATATCTGCTCCAGCCTGAACTGCCTGAATTGTCTTACCCAGAGTTGTAGAGTCCACCCATTTATGTTCTGCTGTATTCATTCACTGTATAGAAGAGTTATTTAAAACCTGAACGTGTAAGGCAAAAAGTTGAGTGGCATGCTCTTTCAATGTCACACTGGAGAAGTATTTAACAAGTCCACCCAAGGATCATTTAATTTTCTAGAAGAATGTATCTGTGTTTGACTTTGCTATTTAGATACTGTGAAGTTACATGTTAATTGTATTTTCATTTCTGGTAAGAGAGATAACTCCAAAGGTTATGATTTTATTAGCCTGCAGGACATTAACCAGTTTCATCCGTAACCTAGCAATCTAATTTTAACTTTTTTCATTTTGAAAATATTTTTTCCTGGTGGATTATATAAAGCCCTTTTCCTCGAGTGCTCTTGCAAGAATCAGCTTTCCCAGCTAATGGCTCCATCATAAGCTAACGAGCTGAATAAAACCTCTGACATGTGTCTATATTTGAATGAGTCATGATTTTAATGTTTTATCAATTATACTTTGATATAGCTGATATACCTCAACTCATACTTTCTCCTCCTATCTACTGTGCTTACTCTTTAGGTGCAGAAGAGCTACCTGAGAGCCTGTTTGAATGTAGATTCTTCCCCCTTCCAGCTCCCACCATCAGAGTCTAATTCAGGGAGGTTGACGTAGGCCTTGGTGGTTGCATTTTAATAAGCTCCTCAGGAGATTCTGAAGCTGACGGTACTCAGACTAGACACCTTGAGAACATCGCCTGGTAAACTAGGTGCTGGTGATGATCTAAGGCCATATGGATTCACACTGTTCAGAGTAGATGGAGTTAGCTGAAGTTTAACATTGTGAGGCCTGGGATGGGCTGGAATCCAACAATCCATTTTCATAAACTTTAATTTGGATGTGGTAGGTGATCTCAGGTGTTCATCCACTTATTGGCTGTATCAGAAAGCAGGTGGGGCTGGAAACCACCAGGAATCTGTATAAATAGGTTGAATCACATGACATGGCTGATATTTGACTTTTTAATTGACCTTAAAAAATATCATTTTCATATGCCTTGACGTAATAACTCCTCAGCTGTTTCTAATTCGAAGCTGATTTGGCGGCTAACTCATTAATATGACAGTTGGGACAGAAGATTTCCAATATTTGCTGAAAGTGCTTTGTAATTTTCACCAGACTTAGAGCAAAAATTTAATAATCCTCTTCCTAGAAAAATGCACCAAGTGTAACCTTTTGCATACAATCTCAGGGGGATTTATGGACTCCTTAAAGGTCCAAGGACTCGAGGTTAATCCTATTTTATAATTTTTTTTTTGAAGGCTGCATTTCCTGAAAGCTGCATTCTTTAGAAAGACTTTTGCTGCCACCTACTGCCACATGGTTCTTGAGCTGGGTTTGCTCTATTCTTGCCTTGTCAATGTCCTCCAGTTCGGAGTTTTGTAGGAGCTATAAGCAGCTATCATCTCACATCAACTGACAAGAGAAGTCCAATTCTAGGCTGAAATGGGCACCAAAAACCTATTTATTTATAATTCAGACACTGAATTGAATTATTGCAAATGTGGTGAAAAATTTGTGCACACTATGCATTGTCTAGTCTATGCACACTCTTCAGCTTATAGCTGATTCTAAGAAGGATTAAAATAAGAGTTGGAATAGAATAACAGGGCTATCTGGTTTTGAGTCTAAAGGAGCTTATTTTACAACTCTGTCCTGTACATAACTGATAATAATGCAAAATAATTGTTCTAGAAATGCAAATTATGTCTTATCCAGGAGGTTCTCTTGACTTTCTCCCTGCAGTGTGGAAGAAGCAAGTTTTGGCTCCATTTGCATATTTATTTCAATATTCCTGGTCCATAAGAGTATCTTTTCTTTGGATTCTCCTTTGGGTCAGTTATAACATGTGCCTTATTTCCTCAGAGGGAAATAAAACTTTCACATGAGCTCATTTGGTATCTGTTTTGAGAGTCATTATACTTTTTTTAAAATTATTCTTTAACAAGGGCCAAAAATAGGTATCTTTGATTCCCATCTACGAGAGGTCTACCCCTTTCTTGAAAGTGCACATTCTAATTAAGGAGATGTTCAATGTTGAAAGTAATTTTTTTGAGATGTCCCAACCCTCTTTTCCCTTTTGCTCTCATTCAAACAGTTAAGACCCTATCTCATTGCCTCAGGGGAGGCAGGGGCAAAACTAACAAAATACAACGAAGGAGTTTGTAAATCTTTCTGGACTTTGTTTTCCTAAAGCTCAAGTTCTTCCAAGAGTTTAGAGAAGTGGAGTGGGAGAGGACCTGAATATTGGGGGAAAAGAGAGGAGATGGGGTTTTCCTTCCAGAAAACGAGATTACCTCAGATTGGGGGAAGGAGGGAGAGGCAGACGCAATAGGACCAGGCCCTGAGAGGCGAGGCTGCAGGGGCTGGATGGACTGGAGCCCAGACCACATGGAATTAGAGAAAGGCTGCGCTGGGAGGGCCCTGAAAATAGGGTCCTGGGAGGTCAGGCTGACCCCTGTGGACTAAAGATCCTTGACAGCGTTCGCGTGTGTGTGTGTGAACAAATTTGGCCTCTAACCTTCCGGGCAGTCTTGACTCAAGAGGCAAGCTGCAGTCTTATAAACTCATTTGTGTCCTGGACTACATTTTAGAAGTGAAAAAAAGGGCAGAAAATACCAGAAAGCATAGAATGTGGTAAAAGGAGGTGTTTCATAAACCTTTTTGTTTCAGCTGAGTCAGTATGCATATTAATTTTCTTTCTATGATCAATCTATATAATTTTACTGTGGGTTCTGAGCCAAAGGAAAAAAACATTGCAAAAAACTGATGCTAAAGGCATTTTTAAAAGTCAAATTTAACTCTATTAGCCCAGCTGTATTCAGAAGACCTGAGCTTTCCTTTTCTTCTTTCAAAATGGCTCCAAAGGAATACCACATTAGGGCTGAAATAAATTTTACTTTCAGGTTCCTACCTATTACAAAGGCAATGACTAGCTACTTAATTTTTTTTTTCCTGTAGAGGTGGGGTCTCACTGTATTGGGGTCTCAAACTCCTGGCCTCAAGTGATCCTCATGCCTGGGCCTCCCAAAGTACGGAGCCACCACTATTACTTTAAACACTTTTGCTGGCGCTTTGTCTTACTTTACCTATTTAGCTTCAGGTTAAGTGACCTGGGGGGAAATGAAGCTAGGATCAAGACAGGCCAGACCTCCCTGGACAAGTGTCCCCCACCCCCAATACTCACATTAAAAACAAAATTCAGTCTCTGCCAATCATATTAGAACAAGTGGGAAAGTGGGAAGGGCAGGAACAATTATTTTTCAGAATTTGGGAATCTATTTTTCAGTGTGGTTTTATAATTTACCTTTCAGGAATATAAGTTCTGTGACAATCAGACTTGCTTTTCTATGGAAATATGCAAAACCCTACCCAGGTGAAGCAAAAATTATTGTGATTATGCAACATTCCCTGACAAGGTTACAAGTGTCATGGTAAAGTATTCTTGCCACTGTTGGCCCTGGTAGAACAGTTAATTTTAAAAAGGTGACAACAGAGTAACAGACATGTACAGAATAGACTAGATGATAGAAGTGTTGAGAAGTTGACCAAAAATAAGAAGTGGAATATTTTTAAAAAATTCATTGCTTACTCTGGGATTAACAACATTGGAATTTTAATTTAAAAATTAAGGTGGCATTTATAAAGTAATTACATATCTTACCAGCTTTTGTACTCCACTTAGGGAAGTTGAGTCTACTTTAGAAGAGAAAGGGGTTGACCCATAGAGTTTCCTAAAAATGCTGTTAATAGCTCCACAACAGAGGCAGCTTTGCTTAAAAACCCAATCAGGGAGTTTGGTAACTAGGGAGAAGGCAGAGACAGCCACAGCCCTTTCTGCCTCTATTTGTTGGGAATAAATTCATGGTATTTATTCCCAACAAATTCACACTTTCAATTTATCTGTTTTTCTCACTGGACCTAAAGTAGTTATGGAAGTTCCTCTCTCCTTAGGCCTAATTTTGTTTCGTAAAATGCAGTCTTTTTTTTTTTTTTAATTATACTTTAAGTTTTAGGGTACATGTGCACATTGTGCAGGTTAGTTACATATGTATACATGTGCCATGCTGGTGCGCTGCACCCACTAACTCGTCATCTAGCATTAGGTATATCTCCCACTGCTATCCCTCCCCCCTCCCCCCACCCCACAACAGTCCCCAGAGTGTGATATTCCCCTTCCTATGTCCATGTGATCTCATTGTTCAATTCCCACCTATGAGTGAGAATATGCGGTGTTTGGTTTTTTGTTCTTGTGACAGTTTACTGAGAATGATGATTTCCAATTTCATCCATGTCCCTACAAAGGACATGAACTCATCATTTTTTATGGCTGCATAGTATTCCATGGTGTATATGTGCCACATTTTCTTAATCCAGTCTATCATTGTTGGACATTTGGGTTGGTTCCAAGTCTTTGCTATTGTGAATAATGCCGCAATAAACATACGTGTGCATGTGTCTTTATAGCAGCATGATTTATAGTCCTTTGGGTATATACCCAGTAATGGGATGGCTGGGTCAAATGGTATTTCCAGTTCTAGATCCCTGAGGAATCGCCACACTGACTTCCACAATGGTTGAACTAGTTTACAGTCCCACCAACAGTGTAAAAGTGTTCCTATTTCTCCACATCCTCTCCAGCACCTGTTGTTTCCTGACTTTTTAATGATTGCCATTCTAACTGGTGTGAGATGGTATCTCATTGTGGTTTTGATTTGCATTTCTCTGATGGCCAGTGATGATGAGTATTTTTTCATGTGTTTTTTTGCTCATGGGTAGGAAGGATCAATATCGTGAAAATGGCCATACTGCCCAAGGTAATTTACAGATTCAATGCCATCCCCATCAAGCTACCAATGCCTTTCTTCACAGAATTGGAAAAAACTACTTTAAAGTTCATATGGAACCAAAAAAGAGCCCGCATTGCCAAGTCAATCCTAAGCCAAAAGAACAAAGCTGGAGGCATCACACTACCTGACTTCAAACTATACTACAAGGCTACAGTAACCAAAACAGCATGGTACTGGTACCAAAACAGAGATATAGATCAATGGAACAGAACAGAGCCCTCAGAAGTAACGCCGCATATCTACAACTATCTGATCTTTGACAAACCTGAGAAAAACAAGCAATGGGGAAAGGATTCCTTATTTAATAAATGGTGCTGGGAAAACTGGCTAGCCATATGTAGAAAGCTGAAACTGGGTCCCTTCCTTACACCTTATACAAAAATCAATTCAAGATGGATTAAAGACTTAAACATTAGACCTAAAACCATAAAAACCCTAGAAGAAAACCTAGGCATTACCATTCAGGACATAGGCATGGGCAAGGACTTCATGTCTAAAACACCAAAAGCAATGGCAACAAAAGACAAAATTGACAAATGGGATCTAATTAAAGAGCTTCTGCACAGCAAAAGAAACTACCATCAGAGTGAACAGGCAACCTATAAAATGGGAGAAAATTTTCGCAACCTACTCATCTGACAAAGGGCTAATATCCAGAATCTACAATGAACTCAAACAAATTTACAAGAAAAAAACAAACAACCCCATCAAAAAGTGGGCGAAGGACATGAACAGACACTTCTCAAAAGAAGACATTTATGCAGCCAAAATGCAGTCTTAAAGGCCCCCGGGCAGAAACCACAGCCCACACCAAGGAGTAAAATGGAACCTCACTTACCATTTCCTGAAGGAGCAAGTATTAGTTATTTCAAGTGAAAACTAGTGCCTGAAACTGTTCTCTTCCAATATAGTTAGTTACATAGTCCCCCAAATAGAACAACTATGAAGCAAAAATCTAAGTAGTTATTTCATTAAAAACCACCTGGGCCAGAAGCGGTGGCTCATGCCTGTAATCCATGCACTTTGGGAGGCCGAGGCGGGTGGATCATGAGGTCAGGAGATCGAGACCATCCTGGCTAACACGGTGAAACCCTGTCTCTACTAAAAATACAAAATAAAAAAAAAAAAATTAGTCGGGTGTGGTCACGGGCGCCTGTAGTTTCAGCTACTTGGGAGGCTGAGGCAGGAGAGTGGCGTGAACCCGGGAGGTGAAGCTTGCAGTGAGCTGAGATCCCGCCACTGCACTCCAGCCTGGGTGACAGAGCGAGATTCCGTCTCAAACAAAAACAAAAACAAACTAACAAAAACCACTTGGACTATCATATTTTAATATATATATTTCATTTTAATGAAGAGTGCTTTCTTGTAGACATTGATGCAGTACATAGGGCTGGTAAGGAAGTAGTAACAGTGCGGAGGGGGTAAGTATGTCAGTCTGGCATGTTTTCTTCTAAATTAATATTCAAAAAGGTGCCATTCAAGGAACACTTTTGGTCATACCTTGCAACCAGTACTGAGACATGACATAAAGTTAAAACTCCAGGTGCCTTTTTGAGATAAGTGTGAATCCACATTCACAACCTGGGTTGAGAAAGGTCACACTTCTCTACTTACTAAAATGGAGTCCTTCAATCTTAAGTCAGCCCAGCAATTCAGTTGTATTGACCTGATGGAGGCCATCCGAGGTTTCACTGCCATTAGGAGCAGGGCTTGTTTTATGCGCTCCGTGCATGCTGATGGTGCAGGGAGTGGTGGAAGATGTGCCACCTCAAATCTGGATAATTCCTTTAATCCCTTCCTTCAATACAACCTGCTCTTAAAACTGAACACTGATTTTCATTCTTTTCATGATTAGTGTTTCCCCACCCTTATCTTTGCATTCACTCCCTCTCATAAAGGATGCATTTTCAGAGTCCAGATGGATTAGGATAACTGCTTACAAATTCCATGGCAATAGTTAAGTTCTGAGGAAAAGCAGGCTTTGTGATAAGACCACTGGATGTCTTTCAATTTTCAAAAGTCAGATTTCATTCCACAGCTTGTCATACAGTTTACAGAATTATGAGAATCCTCCCTGGATTCACAGTGTCTTTCTTAATAGAGTCATACATTAATGAATGTTACCCATTATTTAATATTTAAATTTCAAATTCTAGTTTCTACTTTACAAGGAAAAGGACACGAAGACAAAACTGATTGACCCATGGTCAGTCAGGAGAAAATGTGTCTTAGCTCCTAATTTAGTGACCTATATGCTAAATTACACCTTTTCATCCCTCTGAGAACATAATTCTGGAAGCTTGTATAAACAAAATAGGCCCCAAATTACATTCTCACCACAGAAATTAGATAATTTATCAAGTGCAAAAAGAACACGAGAATATTCTGCACAATTTATCAAGGACCTTCAAATAAATCCATTACAAAAAATACCCCTTCAGGCAAAATAAATAAGACTGAAATTCAGCATAACAAATTTGCAAAGTTTAAAATTAGCTTAACGTGAGGGCTGCAATTCCAGTTACAAAGCAAATGTCCCAAGTTCCCCCAAAGAACTTAAGACAAATTGATTAAAGTTGTTCAGTTATTTTAGAATATTTTGTTTAGAGAAACCAAACTTGAAGTCTCATTAAAAGTAACATCTATCAAGTGATAAAGCAAATGTAACATAATATTACTGCAGATTCTAGGTCGTAGATGTTCACTATACAAGTCTTTCAACATTTCTGCATGTTTGGGAAATTTCATCAAGTGCTGAAGAAAAAAAGCAAAAAAAGTAACATCTGCGCCTTACCATCTAAAATTTACATGACAAGGTACCAGAAATTGGTCAGCTTCAACTGCTGCTTTCAATAAATGTTCATTATTACGTATTTGAGTGTGTGCAACGTGCCAGGCACTGTGGTAAGAAGAGGGGATTCAGCAGCAACCAGAACACATCCCCATTCCACACAGTTTACCTTCTCCTGGGGACTTGCATAGAAGAGAACTATGGTCACTGCTGCTTGGGCGATTGTCCGAGTGGGACAGCACCTACCTTCAGAGCTGCAGACAGTAAGAGCAGAGGCACATGCCCCAACTTCCCCATCTTAAAGGCAGGGCTAGTGTCCTGCTGAGAAAGCACTCTGAGAGAAGAAAAGCAGCACCACATCTCTCATTTCCTAAAATGCTTTTCCCACCTAGAATTATTTTTCAGGATTTTATGACCCGAATTTCCTGTGGGGAAAAAGCTTTAAAATATTACACACACAAGTGACATTTAGTGAAACAACCAGGCACCTCCTTGCCAAGTGTCCGTTTTTGACTGAAAGTGAAGGCTGTAATTGAGTGTCACAGTCTGCCAAGATCCATCCAATTTGATTTCATCAGATCATCTTTCTGGATACTGGGAATTTGTAAGTGCCAAGTACACTCTACAGGCACAAAGACAGAAACAGAGAAACTAACTTACAGTCCATCATGTCAATCTGGGAGTTTAGAAAAAGCACACTTCAAAATAAAAATATAAATGACTACTTATGGCTCCTTTTCATTTCCTTAAGGCATTGCACTGTTTAGGTTGTAAGCAACTAGGCATCACAAACAGAATCTGATGTTTTTGTTTTGTTTTGTGAGACAGTGTTGCACTCTGTCACCCAGGCTGGGGGTGCAGTGGCATGATCTTGGCTCACTGCAACCTGTGCTTCCCGGGTTCAAGCGATTCCCGTGCCTCAGCCTCCCAAGAAGCTGGGATTACAGGCATGTATCATGACACCTGGCTAATTTTTGTATTTTTATAGAGATGGGGTTTCACCATTTTGGCCAGGCTGGTCTCGAACTCCTGGCTTCAAGTAATCCGCCAGCCTCCACCTCCCAAAGTGCTGGGATTATAGGCGTGAGCCACCGTGCCCAGCCTAATAGTATTTTATATAAAATAATGAGTAGAACTTGAGGCAAGCCAAGAGAACAGTGTTAGTACATACAAGCAATTGTTCCTCTGTAAAAATAATGCATTCTAACTGTATACATAATTCATAAGCATGCTTAGTTTATCTAAGACTTACTGGTGTAAAAACGGTAATAGAGAATTATACTGTGACCTGTATAATTTTATATGGGTCACAATAATTAACTGCTAGAGATCGTCCAGTATCTCTGTATTATTCCATCATTAGAATAAAAAACACCTGCCTTCATTCTGTTTCACTTTTTTCTACTATTTATCCCCAAAATAAAAGTTAAATCATATTGTAGTATACCAATAAACAGTCTTTGCTGCCAATAGATAGTAATAAACTACCAAACTTCAAATCAACATTCAGACTTGTTTGCCAACAGCAAAATGTATGACGTGCAGCAAGTTTCATCCAACAGTGGGTTGGACGCTGGGCGTGGTGGCTCATGCCTGTAATCCCAGCACTTTGGGAGGCTGAGGCGGGCGGATCATCTGAGGTCAGGAGTTCCAGACGAGACTGGCCAATATGGTGAAACCCGGTCTCTACTCAAAATACAAAAAAATTAGCTGGGCGTGGTGGCGGGTGCCTGTAATCCCAGCTGCTTGGGAGGCTGAGGCAGGAGAATGGCTTGAGCCCGGGAGGTGGAGGTTGCAGTGAGCCGAGGTTGCACCACTGCACTCCAGCCTGAGCGTCAGGGTGAGACTGTCTCAAAACAAAAAACAAAACAAAACAACCTTTAGTTGAACATCTCCAGAAAAAAGTGGAAACAATTTCTTTTTTAATTTAGCAATGTCCCAGAATGATGCCAAAAGATAAATATGGTAAAAGGTGGTTAGTAACATACAACATAAAGCCCAAAGGCTTGTATACCCAACTGAGTGAAACTAGCATGTTTAAGAATAGAGTAGGAGATTGGGAAAATGTAAGGAAGAAACCAACTTTCCAGGTTAAGGCTTAATTCTGATTGAAGTAAAAAGTTTTCTATTTGGAATGACAGCTTGACTATTCTACTTTGTAGTCAAGATGAATGACCAGCATAAAATAACTGGCTGGTTTATGACAAAATGCCAAATGTTGGGGGTTAAAATTGCTCATTTTACTTAAGATGTGACCCAGCTGATAGACACTAAATTAGAGGAAAGTATCAGTGTCAGCAAAGAGTAAGTTAAAGACATTTTATACTGGCAAAATACTTTCCTAAGTATTGTCATTGTTCTGCTGGTTGGAACTTAATTTGAGACAGAATGTTATGGCTGGAGGGGACTCTAGAAATATCTGGTCCAAATCATTTTACAGATGGGAAGCTTGCTAAAAGCTGAAATTAGGCAAAACAACTTTTTTTTTTAATAAAGACTCTTGAGTTAGTAGAAAAAAATAGTATCACCAAGGCAGGAAATGACTCCTCTTTGTATCTAATGCACAGCCAGTGCTTTTAATAGAAATCTGACCAGGAAGCTTTTAAATATCATTTCCTTTTTTGAGCTGGGGGCGTGGAGATTAAATGTTTTGTGGCAACATTTAATTTTTTTCTCCGATAAAAGTACACATTTATTGTAGAAAATGTAAAAAATATAAGCAAGCGCAAAGGAAAATAAGCCAACAAAAAGTTTAGTATATTTCCTTCAGGCTTTTTCTACGCAAATACAAAAATACTACTGTTCAGTTTTTAAATGGAACTTGACAATTATTTATTCATTGTAAAATAATCACAGGAACAGCAGCAGTGTAGGTTTCCCTACCTAGAGGGTGGTATGCAGTGATTCTCAGGCGCTGGTTGGAAGGCACAGCTGAGGGACACAAACTGCCAGGAAGTAATGTGGTAACTAGCCATGAGCTTGTGGTACTAATGGTGGCACGGGAAACAAGGTCTCTGCTTGACTTTTATTTTCACTCCATAACAAACTCACCAGATCAGGAGCCTAAGGGTGGGTGGGGAGGGAGAAGAGAGAAAAAAGCAAAGGGAAAGTTCAAAGTGACACTCGCTGGGGCTGAAAACCACACTCCCCTGCAGATGAGGTCCTTGGCTTTCTCTTGAAATTAAGGCTGATCTAGAACGCTGGCTGGCGACTCTGATTTGGCCTCTCTGGGGGATACAATGTCATCTCTCATTACCAGACAACTTTAAATGGTGGATGGATCTTTAGATCCTTTATAAGCTTATACTAGTTGCGGGTCTCCCTGAGAACTAGATTCCACGATATTTTATATCTATATATAGGCCTTTAACAAATACATGATGGCACACAAAAAAATCATCTCCCTATTAGGAAAATCTGGTTACTTCCAGGATTCTACAGGATCCTTCTCAGAACCTGCAGTTGTTAGGCTACAGCAACATACTCAAGCTAAGTTGTGATACAACCACTGTGACTTCTAATCCTAGTTTGGTGACCTCCTAGGTATCTCCAATCATCTCCCAAGTTTTAAAAAATTCTGATTTTAGGAAATCAATTTTGTTCTTTTTAATCGAAATAAACCAGAGGGTATTCAAAAGAGCTGAAAACTTCTGGCTCACATAGCTTCTGTCACCACCAATGAGATGCCACATGCGCTGACTACTTGGGTCACTTTTAATTTTTATGTTGCTGATTGTATGTGTGCATCTCCTGTCTTGTAAGCATTAAACAAATGAAGACATATGCAGAGCTGTGAAATTCACTCTGCACTGAATAGACAAAAAGGGTTACATAGCATAACAATGAGCAGTTGGTATCCACGTGGTTCTCAGCATTATAAACTCTGGGGAAGATGCTACTTCGTAACCTCAAGGAAATAAGTAAGCAAGGCAGAAGGAACACTTAAACAAGTATTATTCAACAGACATGTTTACACTAAATAATTAAGGTTATATTTAGGGTTTAAACTCATCCCTGAATATCCTTAGTAACAACCTGGAGGAAAAACTGGGGTGAATGAGAACTTAAGTTTTCCAAGGATTATGGTTCAAATCCTCTGAAATCTATAACAGGTTAAAAAAATGAGAACTCAACTTTCTAGAGCAATAACTCTTCTCGAGGGCACTAGCACAAGGCGGTAGTGATTTTCACTTTTAATATATTACATATAATACTACAAAAAGACTGAAGTTTTAAGGAAAATCCATTATTATTAAAAGTTTAGTACTCTTGAGTCTGGACTTTCTGACAATAAAATACACCAGAGCAAAAGCCCAAGAAAGTACAACAAAGAGGTATACTAACTGGCAAAATAGCTGCTGCAACATGCCACAGGCACTTCAGGCCTAACATTTCTGAAAAAGCATGGAACGTGTGGATTCCCAGGAAAAAACTGCCTCAGATCATTTGTAACAGGAAGAAATAGTAAGTGACCTCTCTAACAACACTCACTAGTAGATATTACATATTTCCCGTGGCTTGTTTGTTTGCATGTTATTGAGAACAGGGCAAGGAAAGGCACTGTTTTCTCCAGGTAGTTGTTTTTGAGCAAGTGAGGGCAAGCTATACCCCTGCATCAGTACTTCGTGGCTGAAAACCCTCCCTCCGAAGGCTACCCATGTCAAAGCGGGTGGAGACCTCACAGCGCACTAATAATGTGTCATCCTTAATGAAAGTTCTTTGTCTTAGGGCTTCCAGATGCATAAAAGTTACATAGCCAAAACCTTTTGGGTTCCGTGGGATTGTGGGTCGCTGGAAAGCAAGCAGCTCTGGTTTGGCATCCATTATCTCTTCGTGGTTTTGCCTTACAGGTGCTTCAGACTGATCAAGAATTGTAAGGCGTATTGTACCCTGGAAGGGCCAAGGGAGGTGGCTGTCATATTCTCCTTGCATTGTGTGGACAAAAAGGGATATATAGTTTGCACAGCGCTGAGCAGTCGGTAACTGAAGGTGCAAGCGCATGCACAGTTTGTACCCGGGTTTGCCAGTGTAGAATCCAGGGCTATGAATCACAACAGGTTTCTCCTCTTCTTGACATTTCAAATGCATTCCAAAGTTGCCAATCTTCCAAATATAAATTCCATTGCACTGCTGTGCTTCGATTTCAGCAACTTTGTCCTCAAGGGTTCGAATGGTTCGTTTGAGCTCACTTACATACATACTCTGAGTTTCCATTTTAGCAGTCAGCTCCCGGATTTGATGGTCTTGTCTTACAAGGCGACCCTCTAACTGGTGAATAGTTTCCTGGAAATTCCGGACCTCTGAGATATACCCAGAGTCGGGTATAACGCTCAAACTATGAACAGCCTGGGCCAACATTCTCATGTGTGACTGGGTGTTCTCTTGTAGGTGGCGTGCCAAGTGATTCCTCTGCATCTAAAAATCAAGCACAAGCCTTAGGCTGGGAATAGATACCGTGAGGAGTAGGAAAAGGACCTGGCCAGGTCAAATAAGAAGTTTTCAAGTAGTCACACCACTTCCCTCAATTCTCTACAATTTTCCTTTGCCTTCAACAGATTCTTGATCCAATGAGGCGACTCTGCCTCTTAGTTCACTGAAAAACAGACTATCTGATGACTACTCTCCCAGCTTTCACTCACATAAATCTCCCTCCCACCTACAAAAAATGTATTTACACACATCCTTCTTTTCTAACTGAGATGCCTGTCCTCTCCAAGATTAACATTCTACCTGTGCTCTAAATGTTACCTGACCTGTTGCGACACCCCAGAGATTTTACTCAGTGATTTTTCTTCATCTTTAAACATCTCTTCCTCTAACACTTTCCTTTAGAATACAATTATTGAAGTCTTTCCCATCAAAAAAGGACAAACCTCTCTGAAGAGCTTTTGTCTCTCTCTAGTTAATATTAATACCATTTTTTTTAAAGTCAAGAATATAGTCTACCTGTATTGTCTGCAATTCCCAGTATACAAATCTATTGCAAATTGGAATTTCTCCTGGCACCATGCCATTCTAAGGTCATTAAGAACACCCTATTATACGAAAAACATTCATAATACAACAATTTTTATTATAAAAGGTCATATAGTCTTTAAAAAACCTAGAAAATATAGATGACCAAAAAGGGTGTTACCTAATATCTCACCTAACTTCCATTAACATTTTATTTCTTTCTTTTTCTCTAAGCACAATACAGAATTTTCCCACAAAATACAACCATACCATTTTGCTCATTTTATTTTTTAAATTATTAAATGTATGTTTGTTACACATAAGTCAGGGAAAAAAAAGTATAATGGAAAACCAAAAGTGTAACTGCACTCTCCAAAAAGAAAGACATATCATAAACAATGATCAATCTCAGACATTTGACACTACTGATCATGAATCTTGAAACTAATTTTGGAGACCATAATACTACTTTCTCTTTGCCTGGTTCATCTGTTTCTTATACTGTTTGTTCATGGCTCTTTTCCTTGGCATACTTCTCTTTCCTGTACATACGCCATATGATCTCAATCACAACTTCCATTATTACCACAAATCACTTTCCCAAATCAATACTCTGAGTCCTAATTTCTCTTTGGGGCTTAAGACAGCACATAATGCATGTCAGTCATCCCACCTGTTCCCTAGCTGGGTGAAGTCATTATCTGTAATTCAATACATTAAAACAGATTTTTTTTTTAAACTCTACCTCCAGTCAGTTCTTCCTGTGTTCACTCTTTTTTGCCGAATGGCCCTTCCATCTACCCAGTGACAAAGGCCAGAAACCAAGAGTCATTCTAGACGCCTCCCTCTCCTTCACTCATCACATTTATTTAGTCACACAGGCAGTAGATCTTCTCTCCTAAATATGTACTGGCTCCTAGGTCTATCTTGACGGTCATCGCCATAATTCAAGCTGTCTTCACTTAGGTATTCCAACAGCTCAGGTACTAGTACCCCCACCTCCACCTCAAATCATCTACATTGCTATTGGGTTGAACTAGCACAACACAAACTACTTGTAGTTCCTCAAATCACCATGCTCACTCTTTCTCACTGGTCTTCTCTCCTTTGTCTTCTTGGAAAACTATTTCACCTGTCAAGATTCAGCCCAAAGCATCATGTTTTGTCAAGTCTGTCTGAATGCTTTAGGCATTGCTAAGTATGCCTTTGCTTCTGCTCACAGCATCCATGAATAACTCTATTATATCACTTATTACACTGCTTTACAACTACATCTACATTCTTGTTGTTATTCTCCACTACATGATGTAAATATTTTTTTTTACTTATATTCAAGAATTAAAAGAAAAAAAAACCTTACCTTTTCATGGCAACCAAAAGTACTGAATGTGCATGGAATTGGGGCTGTAGGGCAGTCTAGATCATAATGATTAGGCATCTGAAATCCAAAACAAAGGCTGAAAAATCTCTTCCTTGCATATCATTTTCTAGTTTGATGCGATCACATTTAAACTGTATTGTCAATGGCTGCTTTGTACCACATTGGCAGTTGAATAGGTGCAGCATAAACCATCACCCACAAAAATTAAAAGAACATCTACTTTCAAAAGTTATAGAGAAAGGAAATATCAACATCTCATAATATCCCCTCCAATTATCCAAAATTCATTTCAAGAAAATGAATTTGTTCCTCTTGCTGGGAACTGGCACCCTCTAGTGGCACTTTACAGAAAAAACACCTAACAATAGCTACAAGTGCAAACTGGATTAAGACTCCCACTATGGTCTAGGCCATTTAATAGGAACCAGTCAACTGCATGCACTGAAGCCACTGACTACACCCATACTTGCCTCATGACCACCTCTCAAAAATCATCTTTGACCACCTTTCAACAATCTTCTTAACTTTTGTTAAGCTGGGCATATTTTAGCTACAATGGGGAGACTCAGATGTTAGAAGGTACTTTAAACACATTAATAGAAGCTCTAAAAAAAGTCTCAGTCCTGGATTTTGGGACTCTAAGACACATTCTCTAAGGTAAGATCCTTTATACTCAATCATATTTTTTCAAAGAGGTGCCAAATTCCCTTTAGAAATTTAATGTAGCTATAGTTGTAGATATTTCAAACAGGAAGTACCTGAGAGACCATTTATTATAATTCAATCCTTCATTTCTCAAGAGGGAACAGTGTAGAACAGGGGCCAATAAAATTTTTTGTAAAGGATCAGATAGTAAATATGGGCTGTACTGCCTCTGTCCTAAGTATTAAACTCTACCATTGTCATACAAAAGTAGCCATACACAAGACATACACACATGGGTATGACTGTCTTTCAATAAAACTTTATTTACAAAAACAGGTAGAGAGACAGATCTAGCTGGCAGGCCAGTTTGCTGATCCCAGATCTATTTAGAATGTCAACTTGTTAAAGATGAGAGGGCACAGTTAAAATCACAGTTTAAACCTAGGACTAAAACCCAGGTTTTCTGACTCTTAGCCTAGGGTTTTTTCTTGTATTTTCTTTTGCTGGGTTTTAATTTGTTGCATGGTTTCCTTTAAATGTTAAAAGACAGCAAAAAGGAAAACGAGTTAGGACTTCATAAGCAAAAGATGTTTAACACCTTCAAATTAAGGCTTTGTTGGAAAAATTAAGAGACTGTTAACAAACCAATGAAAAAGTTTTAAGGTTAACAAACTTGTCCAGTGACAGGTTTTGCTTGCTGCTTCTCAGTAAGGTATATCAATAATGATCTCTGGGTTTACAGATTTCATGGGTATATAAATATTTAATGGTTAATATTCATATTTTGTGGGTAAACTCCCCAAATGTCAGAAGATAGCAATCAGATGGAATTTTCCTTTCTCTACTAATAGTCAAAACAATCTTTGGGCTGGGCTTGGTGGCTCACACCTATAATTCTAGCACTGTGGGAGGCTAAAGCAGGTAGATTGCTTGAGCTCAGGAGTTCGAGACCAGTCTAGGCAATATAACAAGACCCCGTTTCTACAAAAAATCTAAAAAAATAAAAAATTAGCCGGGCATGGTGGTGCACGCCCGTAGTCCCAGCTCTTTGGGAGGCTGAGGTAGGAGGATCGCCTGAGCCAGGAATTTGAGGCTGCAGTGAGCCATGACTGTGTCAATGCACTCCAGCTTAGGCAACAGAGTGAGACTCTATCTCAAGAAACAAAAAAACCCCACCATATAATTTTCTATTACAATTACTACTTCTAATGATGCCCGGTCAGTGGCCTACAGGACAACTGAACAGAAGGGCTACAGGTCCTAAAAATCTGAAAACTTCCCTGTATGCCTCAGGGATTACAGCTACAAATATTATTCTCCTACTGAACAGAACTGCCTTCCTTTATTTCGCTGTTCCCTCTTATTCTTTCAGCCAATCTCTGGACACTTGAGATCCTCATTTCACAGTGTGTAAATATATATATATATATCTTAGTTTTTTCTTTCTTTAAATGGGGACCCTTACTTTTGATTATTTTTATCTTAAAATTGGTTTTGTTGGGAATTTTTATGAATATACAAAAGCACAGGTATTATGTTAATGACTTAGGAATTTTAAGTACTTAAAAAGGGCTGGATGTTTTGTTCTCCCTGAAAGTATTTATTACTTATATTAATTTATATAAAAAATTTTCACACAGCTCTAATACTTCTTCAATCTGTATTTCTTTGCCTTATTGATTTAAATTTTCAATTAAAAAACCTAATTCACTTCTTTAAGCTGTTTATGAAAATAATAATTTATGAAAATGAATAATACCTGTTCTCTGATGAGTATAGTATTGCAGTATTCACAGATGACATTTGCCAAAGGACAGTTCTGGTCATGGATCTGAATTTTATTAGAGAAATATAATTAAAGCATGAGAATATCTGAAAAAGTGAAAACAACTAATTTTGATAAAAAGCAATTTTTCACTATAAACAAATAAGGACATCAATTTGTACAAAGCAAAAGTGAGTGAAAGTGAGAGTAATATATAAAGGCTATTTTCTTTCTCTTTCCCAGTGTAATAATGAGATTCATTCAACTTTCCAGCTCTTTAAAAGAGCAGGGTAGTATATAAAAAATAATTTTTCAAATCCCTTCCTTTTATCCTGAGGTGGTACACCTGTATCTACTTTGGACATCATCTGCCGAGGCTATACTTCTCCAAAGGTAATCTTACAAAAATTTTCAGCAGCAGCATGACAATTTAATTAAAATTTCTTGTCAGTAGAGTTAAAGAACAAATCTTTTATTAGGACATGAGGATTTGGTGCTCAGTTTCTCATATGCCCCAGAAGGGTAAGCCTTATTTTCTAGAATATAATGACTTTAGTTGATGTGCTGAGAAATAATTAGCCTTCCAGGTTAAGTCAATCTAATTTACTAAAGTTTAGAAAGGAGTTGTCGGGCCGGGCGTGGTGGCTCATGTCTGTAATCCCAGCATTTTGGGAGGCAAAGAGGGCAGATCACCTGAGGTCAGGAGTTCGAGACCAGCCTGACCAACATGGAGAAACCCCATCTCTACTAAAAACACAAAATTAGCCGGGCATGGTGATGCATGCCTGTAATCCCAGCTACTTGGGAGGCTGAGGCAGGAGAATCGCTTGAACCCAGGAGGCAGAGGTTGTGGTGAGCCGAGATTGCGCCATTGCATTCCAGCCTGGGCAACAGGAGTGAAACTCCATCTCCAAAAAAATAAAGAAAAAAAGGAGTTGTCATTTTACTCTAATTATGACTGAGACTTCTCTACATTTATACCAAGTTAGCTAACTTTTTTTGAATATTTTATCAATGTAATGGATAAAATATGCTTGATCTCAAAGTGGGGAAAAACTGCCAACGTGAATTTATAAAAACTATAGTTTAAGGAAGTATCTAAGTAACAGAATAAAAACATAAATTATATGTAGGTTATTTTATAAAAGTATACATAGGATAGGGATCAAGGGCTTCGATTTCAGGGTTAGCTTTTTTTATTGGCAATATTAATACAAGTCTACTTAATCTATCTCAGTTTCTGAATATAAAAACTGTCCTATAATCATGATGCTGTTAGGCACTACCAAGTTTCTTTTTAAAAGATAAACTTTTGGCCTGGCATGATGGCTCGTGCCTGTAATCCCAGCACTTTGGGAGGCCAAGGCGGGCGGATTACCTGAGGTCGGGAGTTCGAGACCAGCCTGACCAACATGGAGAAACCTCGTCTCTACTAAAAATACAAAAATATTAGCCGGGCATGGTGGCACGTGCCTGTAATCCCAGCTACTCAGGAGGCTGAGGCAGGAGAATCGCTTGAACCCAGGAGGCTGAGGTTGTGGTGAGCTGAGATCATGCCATTGCACTCCAGCCTGGGCAACAAGAGTGAAACTCTGTCTCAAAAAAAGAAAAAAAAAAAAGGATAAACTTTTAAATTTAACATACAAAATGAGAAGTAAATACATTATATACGCTGCACGATAAAGTATCATCAAGAAAACATACTTTGTGGGTTTGATTTATTCTTTGTAATAGTTAGAACAACCTATTCTGTTTCTCAGAATAATTTTGTGTAGATCTTATCTTAATCTACTTGTTTGTCTCCAATCCAAAATTGGTTATTAAAATATCACACAGGAAAGCTGATCGGCATATGCCTTTCTTAGAAGTTCTGTTACTTGCATATCTACAATAGTGATAACTAGTATAAATGTTTTTTTAAGAAAGACATGCAAAACAAATTCTACACTTATGTACTAAAATGGCTTATTGAACCTTCTTTTTCTTAAAAATCATTTTTCCCAAAATTGATAATGTAGACTCAGAGTCGGAGTCACATCCTTATCTACTGCTAACCCCCTCAAGTACACATTTAAGAACAATATTTTAAGAAGTAGTGAATTTAACAAATCCAAGTTAGTACATGCCTCTTTATCTTCAAATGCCATTGATGCAGCACAGTTGTCACAAGAAACCTGTCTCCTTGGACAATCCTTCAGAATGTGAATATTAATATGGAATTTTTGGAAGGGACGCTGGCATTGGGGACAATCCATAAGAGCAAACTCACAATGTGCTTGATGATCCTATAATTAAAAAAATAATGGATTAGCATTAGCCAACTCTGAAGTCTTCTACATATAAGCTCTCCTAATCATATACTGTTCTCTTTCAGCAGGCTACTGAACCTACTTTGTCTAATGCACACCACAGAACCATTCACAATATGAACGTCTTTAGCGAATTTTTTAAAATGGTCATGGGTTGCAAATTTATACAAAGGATGTGAATTCTCAAGTTCATGCATCCAACTAGCAAAGAGTGTTGGAAAGAAGTCAGATTTCCTATTTATCAATTTATTACTGTGTCAAAAAGGCCACTCTCTTTTAAGAGCTAATAAGTAAAAGGAGCAAGTAGTATATCTGCCTTAAACATTTAATTTCAAATATAACACTAAATTTAATTTCTGGTAAAAATCACCAAGCTAATAATTGATCTATTTAGTATAAAAGCAAATTATTTTATAATCTGATTGTTTCTGTTAATCTGAAACTATAGGCGTATTCCACTTAGTTCATAATAAAATGCACAATTTAGAAAAACAGAAAAAAGTATAATGAGGATACTGAGATGATTACTTGGGAATTACTGCTTATTTCAAAATGACAAAAATGAAATTGCAAGATTAAAATGTGACACTTGTATTTTTTTTTTTTTTTTTTGAGGCAGAGTCTCGCTCTGTCGCCCAGGCTGGAGTGCAGTGGCGTGATCTCGGCTCACTGCAACCTCTACCTCCTGGTTTCAAGTGATTCTCCTGCTTTGGCCTCCTGAGTAGCTGGGATTACAGGTGCACGCCACCATGCCTGGCTAATTTTTGTATTTTTAGTGAGAGACGGGGTTTCACTATATTGGTCAGGCTGGTCTTGAACTCCTGACCTCGTGATCCGCCTGCCTCAGCCTCCCAAAGTGCTGGGATTACAGGCGTGAGCCACTGTGCCTGGCCGACACCTGTATTTAAAATGCTCCTCAGGTTTACTGCAGATAAAGCTTACCAAAAGCTTATGAAACAATACTGATTTTTTAAAAAAATTACTGCTGGGCAAAGCCAGAGTAGATAAAACAGTATATTTCTGGTTTCTACTTACATTTATATTCAATAATTAAAGGGTTGGCATTAATTCAGCAAGAATTTATTAACCAATCATCATATGCTAGGTACTGGCAATACACAGATGGACACAGCAAAGTCCCTATTCTGTAGGAACTTCCTTTTATACATGTGCTAACAGCTAGAAAAGAACTTTAATACCTCAAGATGTCTCAGTTCCATCTTGTGCAAACAACCTTCATTTGGACATTTCACCATCAGAGAAAGAATCTCACGTTTTGCAAAATTGTCTGGAAATAGTTGATTTTCCAGCAGTATTTCATTGTCAACTGGACATTTGTGACCTGCATCCCTAACAGAAACAAAATACACACAATTAGATTTAAAGACTCACATTAGAAAATCCAAACAACTTTAATTCACCATATATAAATTCTCCATTTACTGTTTCATAAGTAAAAACAATTTAACATATTATATTGCAGGTCACCAAAACAAACTGTCCTTTTATGGAGAGCTTACAAACTGTTCTTTTATGAAATGAGTACAACTAGCATACTGATAACCTATCAAAAGCTAAGGGATTTTTATATGGTGGGATAGATTCCAGCTTTTTGAGAAAAATTAGCTGAATAAGGTATTTTGATTGGTACAAAATGAAGTGAAAGAATGGGAATTTTGGCAGTCTGGCCTCTGTGTTGTCACACCTATATAATACACTAGAAAGATGGAATATGCTGCTCACAGTACCAATAACATGTCTATAATGCAATTGCTCAGTCATAAGTAAAAATTTAAGCACTTAGCAGTACCTCCGTGAGGTCACATTTTAAAGTTTACTCTGAAATAGTCACTATAACACTCCAGCTAACAGGCAACAAAAGTTTCCTTTATTTGTATGTCTAGGGTCCAATGTTACAGAAAGTTAAAGGACCTCTATGTCCTGCTTCTCAGTGGTTTATTCTTTCTTATGATGGAAAAAACTATCCTCAGAAAAAGAAAATGGGATTGTATTGAGATGCACTTTGATTCCTTGAGTGAACATACTCAATGAGAAATTTCAGAGCAGTTCCTTTAAGAACACTGGGGCTAAGTGTTCATTTTTAAAAAGCTTACAGGGAGACAGAAAAAAAAAAGCCTCAGACTTCTTTTTGTGGGTTGTATTTCCTTTTCAGACCACTGTCCCACTACTTTCATGAACATCTTGCTATTAAAAAGCTGCTGAAGATTAGCTACCTTCCTGGGCATGGCAGTGAGCCGAGATCGCGCCACTGCACTTCAGCCTGGGAGACAGAGCAAGACTCCATCTCAAAAATAAAATAATGTGGAGGTTGAGAAAAATCTACCCAAAATAGATCTTGTTAAGTCAGCGCTGTGTAATACATCTTTCCCCAAAATTGAAACAGCAGACATTATCTTTTGTGATTTAAATTAAGCCAAGTCCCGAGTATGGATGTAGTTACTCTTAAATTCAAGTTTTATAGAAAAGTTAATGTAAAAGTTGGCAGATAAAAACTTTGGAGACTAACAAATTGCCAGGACAGACTTATAATGAATTCACTAATATAACTAGATGGCTATTTATTGAAGAACATAAAATCTGCCCCCCTTCATCCAATTTTTTGTCCTGTATAGGACTCCTTAGTTACCTACAAAATTCCCATGTACTTTTGAATTATAGTAAAATGTATCTATTTCCATGGAAATTGCAAGTACTTTCATTCAGTTAAAGCAACCATGATTTACTGATCATCTACTATGGGTCAGGCACTATTTCCAGAACTTGGGAAAAATCAAGAAATAAAACAGATCTAATACTTTGCTCTCAAGGAGCTTATCATCCAGTGGGGCAGACAATAAACACATAAATTATTTGGTGCTTTAGAAGGCAGAAAGTGCTAAGGGAAAAAAGAAAATTAGGGCCAGGTGGAGAGATTGGGATTGTTCGGCAAGAAAGGTGGAACCACGCTGTGGTATAAATACGGTGGTGAGGGGACCTATGAGAAGGTGAGATTTGAGCCAAAGTGGAAGAGTTAAGGGGTTAGCTGTGGCAAGAGTGTTACAAACAGAAGAGCTAAAGCCACCACTCACCAAGGCAGGAGCATGCCTGACATGTTCAAGGGATAGCAAAGAGGGAATGAATGGGTAGAAGGACAAAGAGTGCAGCAGAAAAGAGGTCAGGAAATGAATCATGGGCCTATCACACAGGGTCTTATAAGGATTTTAGCTTTTACTCCCAGATACCCTGCTACAATGGTCTGAGCAGAGATGACATCATCTTACTTATTTTACTAGGTCCACTCCCGCTGCTGTATTGAGAACAGCCTGGAAGACAAGAATAGAAAGCAGGAGGCCTGTTAGAGAGCTGGTGGTGAGTCACAACAGGGTGGTAGCAGAGGGAGGAAGTGAGAAGGGACTGGATTTTGGATATATTATGAAGGTAGAGCCTTCAGTTAATACTTTCTTTAAAAATACTGGTAATTTTACAGTTGACCATACACTTTAGGTAATAAACAAGATTTAACATGCCTAAAATCACAATAACTGATCACTTACAGAGTCAGTATTCTTTGTGTGGTTGAGATTATCCTTATCTAGTAGCATCATAATTTAAGGTACATTTAAAAAATACTATTTTCTTTAAAGCATAGAGTCACTCCCCAGTCTGCATTAGAATTGCTTTAAGTAAAAGTAGCAAATTATTTACTTATTTATCCAAGGGTCAAGAGAGGAGGAGATTCAAGTCACTTTTCACACAACAGTGGAAACTGGGATAAGAATCTAACTTTCTCAATTTTCTGTCCATTGTTCTTTTTTCCTAAGTAGCTTTTTATGTGTAAGACTACTTTTGGGATGTTCCATGTTCTATGTAACAATGTTCTCTGCATCTGGTTCTGTTATAGGACACCATTTTTTCTTATGCTCACGTACCTTATTGATTTTATGATGCAGGCTTTGCAGAACCTATGGCCGCATGGCGTTTGCACTGCTTCTCGTAATGCCATCAAGCAGATGGGGCATTCATACTTGCTTTCCAGGGGTGGGTCAAACTCTACATCATATCCCTGGATCTCCTCCATAAATGAGCTGGAGAGGTTCCCCGTGCTGGCAGTTCCACCCACACTATCATCTTTTGTTACAGCGCTACAGGAGCTGGCCATGGCCACACAGCAGTCACTTTCAGACTGGCTGGATCCACAGCTGTTTTCACAGTTTAGCAGACTCATAGTAACTTGATTATCACTTGCTCTGTAGAAATAGCAAGAAAAAAATGCCTTTATAAGTAACACACACACTCACACCCCACACATATATATCATAGCTTATCTATACAAGTCACTTTTTAATTCATGTACATCAGCTGTATTAATGTTATTTACAGAAAACTTTTAAAAGTGTTTTGAGCTTTTTCATGACTATTATAAGTTACCTGATTCTCTCCTTCAATAAATATATATATTATTATTTGTGCAAATCACTTGGAGCACACAAAGAAAGCTGGGTCCCTTCAGAAGTTCATGATCTAGTAGAACGACAGCATATAAAGTTAAAAAAGGAGAAGCACCTCAGTTGTAATACTCTTCTATATCACAATTATCTGTTTACATGTTTGTTTCCTGTGATTGAGCTAAATATTTTAATTTCCATTTCCGCAGTACTTAGCACACGATTTTTCATACAGTAAGTGTTCACTAAGCATCGCTAAAGAACTTATCCATGTTGTTGAAGTTCCTTGAAGTATCCTGAGCTGAAGGGAATAGTATGGCTAGCAGCTCAGTGCCAGGAAAAGCAGTACGCAAGGAATCAGGTGATCATGTGCCACTGTTAGATGTGTGATTTAGTGCAAGTTACTTAACCATTTAGATCTTGGTTTTTTCTTCTAGGTCTAAAATTCTATAAGGACTTCCAAATGCTCAGTGTGGAGATTTCTATTAGGTATTAAAAATAGAATTGAAAAAGTGTATTTTTATGTCCTTCTGCCTTCAGTCAGGTCAAGTGACTATGTTTCATTATTAATGACTGGAAAAACAAGTGATGTTTTGTTTGCCTATGGAAAACTATTGGTTTCATGAGCAGATGAGATATCCTCAAATTCTAAACCATTATGGTATTTACAGGCGAGAAGCTAATATTTAAAAGCAATTCACAGCCCATGTAACCACAACTGTATTTTAAATAATTACTTTTGAAAAAAATTTCTAGTATGTGTCAGATATCATTCAAGAAACAGAATGTAGGCCTCCAGTCATATTCTCCTGCTTGTCTCACTTTTATATAAAATTCCTGGCTGCCACTTCACCAAATCGAGGATTAAGACAGTAGTACTCAATCCTTTTACCACTACAAATACCTTTTTATTCTTTTCAAAGATTCTGAGTAGCACTTGATGACCGCCTACAATGAGGTACTATTCTGGCTGGAAACGCAGTGCTAATAAGTGGTGATGAGCTCAGGTGCTGGAATTGAATGATACGAATTTAACTCTTTTCTTCCATTTATGAGCTGGGCAAATTATATAACCTTTCTGTGCTTCAATTTTCTCATCTGTAAAATGGTTCTAACAATAAAATCCACTTGAGTTACTGAGAAGATTAAATGTGTTAATATGTGCAAAGCACTTAGAACAGTGCCAGGCAGTAAGAATGAATTATTACAACAACTTTATGTAGTATTTAAGTTTTGTTGTCACCACTTATCAAAGTGGTAACTATGGAGCTTAAAAGGTTAAGTAACTTACCTAAGATTACCCAACTAATAAGTAACAGAGTTGGGATCAGAACCCACGTCTACCTGACCTTGGAGCTTTGCACTTTGTAATACACTACTTTTATCCATGTTTTGACCAATTTGTCCATGAAGCTGCATTTAAAATTTATTTGCCTTTATTTTATTACACTAAAGTGCTGGCCACAGCTACTATTAAACATGGTCTGTCCAGCACTACTACACTACATTGACAGAATTCCAAAGAATCTGCAAAGAAACTTGGCATGTGGTTTACTTAAGTTTTTTTTTTTTTTTTTGAGACAGAGTCTCACTCTGTCGCTCAGGCTGGAGTGCAATGGCACGATCTCGACTCACTGCAACCCCCGCCTCTGGGTTCTCCCGCCTCAGCCTCCCCAATAGCTGGGATTACAGGCGCCCGCCACCACGCCCAACTAATTTTTGTGTTTAGTAGAGACGGGGTTTTGCCATGTTGGCCAGGCTGGTCTGGAACTCCTCACCTCAAACGATCCACCTGCCCTGGCCTCCCAAAGTGTTGAGATTAAGGCACGAACCCCCGAGCCCGGCTGTGGTTTATTTAGTTTTGATACAGTATTCCCGAAGTTAAAAATAGCTCCCATGGCCTTGCTATATCTGATGTGGACTCCTAGGGAAGGTTCATACAGATTGAAAGGAAGCAAACAATGGCAAGACAGCAGAAAATAGCAGAACTAGTCACTACAGCTGGGTCGTAAAATACGGTATAGGGCCCCCTTTATACCTTCCAAATCTGAGGACAAATGATGCTGTTATGCTACACTAGGGTATATATCCTTTGTTATTTTTATTCCCATATACAGGCATACTCAGACATTTTGGATTCAGTTCCAAACCACCGCAATAATCCAAATACCATAATAAAGCAAGTAATACAATTTTTTTGTTTCCCATACAAAGTTATGTTTACACTATACAGTAGTCTATTAAGTGTGCAATAGCATTATGTCTAAAAAGACAATGTATATACCTTAATTTAAAAACACCTTATTGCTAAAAAATGCTAGCGATCATCTGAGCCTTCAGCGAGCTATAATATTTTTTGCTGGTAGAGGGTCCTGCGTCAATGTTGATGGCTGTTGACTGATCAGGTTGGTGGCTGCTGATGGTTGAGGTGGCTGTGAAAATTTCTCAAAATAATACAACAATGAAGTTTGCTACCATGAAGTATTTCTCTGTAGCATGTGATGCTGTTTGATAGCATTTTACCCCACGAGAACTTCTTTCAAAAATAGCGTTAATCCTCTCAAATTCTCCCACTACTTTATCAACTAAGTTTGTAGAATATTCTAAATCCTTTGTTGTTATTTCAACAATGTTCACAGCATCCTCACCAGGAGTTGATTCCATCTCAAAAAACCACTGTTTGCTCATCCATAAGAAGCAACTCCTCATCTGTTCAAGTTTTTTACCATGAGACTGCAGAAATTCAGTCATATCTTCAGACTCCACTTCTAATTCTAGTTCTCTTGCTATTTCTACCATCTTCAGTGACTTCTAATGAAGTCCTGAACTCCTCAAAGTCATCCATGAGGGCTTCTTTCAAGTTCAACTTCTTTCAAACTCCTGTTAAGGCTGATATTTTGACCTCCTCCCATGAGCCACAAATGTTCTTAATGGCATCTAGAAAGGTGAATCCTTTCCAGAAAGTTTTCAATTTACTTTGTCCAGATCCATCGGGGGCTCATTCTCTATGGCAGCTATAGCCTTATGAAATGCATGTTTTAAATAATAAGACTTGGAAGTCTAAATGACTCCTTGATCCATGGGCTACAAAATGAATGTTATATTAGCAGGCATGAAAACAACATTAATCTTCTTGAACATCTCCATCAGAGCTCTTGGGTGATTAGGTGCATTGTTAATGAGCAGTAATATTTTGAAAGGCATCTCTCTTTCCTGAACAGTTCTTGACAGTGGGCTTAAAATATTCAGTAAACTACGCTGTAAACAGATACGCTGTCATCCAGGCTTTGTTGTTACCTTTATAAAGCACAGGCAGAGTAGATTTAGTATAATTATTAAGGGCTCTAGGATTTTCAAAAGTGTAAATGAGCACTGGTGTCAACTCAACATTCACCAGCTGCATTAGCCCCTAACAAAAACGTCATCAGCCTGTCCTTTAAAATTTTGAAGCCAGGAATAGACTTGTCTGTAGCTATGAACATCCTAGGTGGCATCTTTTTCCAATAAAAGGCTGTTAAGTATACACTGAAAATTTGTTGTCTGGTGTAGCCACCTTCATCAACGATCGTAGCTAGATCTTCTAGATAATGTGCTGTAGTTTTACATCAACACTTGCTCTTTCATCTTGCACTTTTATGTTACGGAGATGCGTTTCTTTCCTTAAACCTCATAAACCAATCTCTGTTAGCTTCCAACTTTTCTTTTGCAGCTTCCTCACCTCTCTCAAACTTTACAGAATTGAAGAGAATTAGGACCTTGCTCTGGATTAGGTTTTGGATTAAGGAAATGTTGTGGCTAGTTTGATCTTCCATCCAGACCATTACAACTTTCTCCATATCAGCAATAAGGCTGTTTCACTTTCTTATTAGTGAGTTCACTGGAGTACCACTTTTAATTTCCTTCAAAAACTTTTCCTTTCTATTCACAATTTGGCTAAATGGCCCATTTTGACTTCTGATGTGCCTTCTTCAGTAAGCATAATTATTTCTAGCTTTTGATTTAAAGTGACAGACATGTGGCTCTTTGGTTTACTTGAACACTTAGAGGCCATTGTAGGATTATTAATTGGTCTAATTTCAATATTGCTGTGTCTCAGGGGAGTAGGGAGGCCTGAGGAGAGGGACAGTAAGGGAACCAGCTGGTCAGTGGAGCAGTCAGAGCTCTCACATTTATTAAGTTCATCATCTCATATGGGTGTGGTGCATGTACTCCAAAACAACAATTACAATAGTAACATCAAAGATCGCTGATCACAGATCACTATAACAGACATAATAAAGTTTAAAATATTCCAAGAATTACAAAAATGTGACAGACAAATACAAAGTGAGCACACGCTGTTGGAAAAATGGCGTGCAAAGACTTGCACAACACAGGGTTGACATAAATCTTCAATATGTTAAAAAAAAAAAACAAAAAAGTATCCGGGAAGTGCAAAAAACCAGTGCTATAAAATGAGGTATATCTGTACATTTCTGTGTCCAATTACTTCCTTAGGTAAATTTCCTAGAGGTAGAATTGTTGGATCAGAGGGTATGTAACTTTTTAAGCTTTCTGATAGATAATGCTGGTTATCTAATATGTATCAAAGACATTCTAATTTCCACTCACACAAGCACAGTATATATGCAAGAGTCCATTTTCTCTACGCTTGACAACATCAGGTATATTTCAGTCTTGAACCATTTTTTTTTTAAGTAAAATCACTTTTGAGAAATTAGTATTTGTTATTTGGTGTAGGACATATATCCAAGTGCTGGCCACAAGACAAAGGCAGAAATTATGAAGCTAGGTGTATCTTTTCTTTTCTGCCCAAATGTCCAGTTTAAAATATAGTTTATTGGATAGTCTATACACTGCCTGCTTCCAGTCCAGTTCAAAAGGCTTGAAGGTCTTTAGGTCTGAAGAGACCTTTTATAGCTAATGTGTTCCTAAGAAAATCTGTCTAATCAGTTATAATTCCTTAAAAGGAACTCCACTGTGGGAATGCAGTGTGACACATAAAAGTGAGCATGTTCAAAATCTATTTGCCTTCAAGTTTCACATTACTTTCCACGCTTTAAGATGCAATCCAGAAGCTTTCTATTTTCCAAATAAACTTTTTCATATAGTTATCCTTTAAGTCCACAGTATTTAGTTTCATGTAACTAGACATAAAGGGAAAATTAAGTTAAAAACAATTCTTGACTGCCACTTAGCATTTTTGTTTCCTCTTTCTTTGGTAAAACATTTTGTCCCTTTAGTTTTAAGAACTGCAATGACTTAAGGAAAAATCACCTAACTTAATTATAACGATAACTAACACTAAGAGAAGAACAAAAAGTGCTTTGTATATATACGTATATACACATAAATGTATATACGTGTATATATGTATATATACATGTATTATACATACATAAATGTATATATGTATATATACATGTATTATACATACATAAATGTATATATGTATATATACATGTATTATACATACATAAATGTATATATGTATATATACATGTATTATACATACATAAATGTATATATGTATATATACATGTATTATACATACATAAATGTATATATGTATATATACATGTATTATACATACATAAATGTATATATGTATATATACATGTATTATACATACATAAATGTATATATGTATATATACATGTATTATACATACATAAATGTATATATGTATATATACATGTATTATACATACATAAATGTATATATATATACATGTATTATACATACATAAATGTATATATGTATATATACGTGTATACATGCATATATACATGTATATATGTATATATACGTGTATACACGTATATATACATGTATATGTATACATACACGCGCGTGTATATATGTATACATACACGCGCGTGTATATATGTATACATACACGCGCGTGTATATATGTATACATACACACGCGCGTGTATATATGTATACATACACGAGCGTGTATATATGTATACATACACGCGCGTGTATATATGTATATATACACATACATACATGTATTATACATATAAACATATACAAATATATGTATATATTATATATGTGTATATATACACATATATACATGTATTTTATATATGTGTATATATATACATATATATACACACACTTTTTTTTTTGTCAGGGTCCTGCTCTATTGCCCAGGCTGGAGTGCAGTGGCACGATCATGGCTCATTGCAGCCTCCACCTCTTGGGCTCAAGTGATCCTCCCACCTCAGTCTCCCAAGTAGCTGGGACTACAGGTGTGTGCCACCAAGCCTGGTTAATTTTTGTATTTTTTTGTAGAGACAGGATTTTGCCATATTGCCCAGGCTGGTCTCAAGCTATCCTCCCACCTCAGCCTCCCGAAGTGCTGGGATTACAGGCATGAGCCATTATGCCAGGCCTAAAATAAAAATTTCTTACAGCCTCTATTCTAGTATACTTACGTGGCTTTCTACAGGAATTAATGAAGGGATGGAACAAAGTATAAATTGTTCCTTAACTTGTATGTTAAGAGTGTCCTGACTGTAATCCCCTTTTGCAGTTGCGAAATCTAGTATGATAAGCACTACCTTAAAGATTGTGGAACGTTAACTACTGCTAACTTATTTCAGCCGTAAAATGAGTAGTATTGAAAGCAGCCTTGTCATAAATCAAGACTTAAATTCACGAATTAGTATCTGGGTGTACATTATAATCAAAAGAGAATACTGTAACATGTCTTGGGGGAGGGGGAAGTAGGATAATCCACAAAAAGTTTGTCCTCCAAGGCAGATGCTAAGGAGGTATGTGCCAAGTTAAAAGAAGTCAACAAGTTATGTCTTAAATGAGTCAATTTTAAGTCAACTGAAATTCATACGAGTAAACATGTAACTTATTGAAGTAAAACCATGTAAAGAAAATATGAGAAATTATCTTTAATGTGCTACTAGCTTTAGAAACAGAAACTGTTTACCAGCTTCTTAAATTTCTAAAGTGTGAAGACCTACAAATGTACTCCAATGGCCAAGAGATGCTGCAAAATACTCAACTGTTGTGCCTTAACTTTGAATCCAAATTCAAGGGGCATTCCCCTTCCTGGGCACTATTTACTCTGCTCCAGGAGGCAAGGATTTGAACTTCTCTCCAAATCTAAGTGTCCAAAAGTTTACCGGCATCACATGCCCAAATTTATCACAGAGAAGAGCTCATGTTACAATTCTGAAATATTGTGGTGCATGCAGGCTGAAACTCTGATGTGATCCTGTACCCACCACATGCCGGACTCCTTCCTAGAGTCACAAAAGAGGCCACATTGTTCCTGCCTATACACTCAACCTCAAAATTTGAAAAGCCCCTCTCCCTTCCCTAGTAATCAAAGGAGAATGAATGAAATGATAGCGGCCAAGTTCACAAGGCCAACACAGAATTTCTTTACCAGTTTTTCTCGTTTCTACATGGAACCTGTGTAACAAGACATTCAGTAATAGTAATCTGCTCTCAGAGAAAGAAACAATTAAATACCATACAGCGAAGCTGCTAATACTTTATTTAGGTGCTTTCTGTTCACATTCAAGACAGTCCTAACTCAGCTGGAGTTCCCCTTAAGCCAAATACTAGGAACAGCTTTATCAACCCGGCGTCTGGAACAATCGCTCGAACTACCGAGTTTAGGGGCGGGGGAGAAAACATTCGTGTCATCTGAGCCTTTTTTTTTTTTTAAACTCGCTGCCTGAGACTTCTATAGAGTTCAACAGGGAATCCAAAAATAGCTTTCCCATGACAGTGACAGCCGGAGTCGCCAGGAACGTAAAGGATTTTTTAAAAATTTAAGCAGGTGTTTGCTCCAAGGAGCGGACAACTGCAGGAGGCAATTTCCTTATCTGGGAAGGGGAAAAAGCGGAGTTGAGGGGAGCGAGGTTGAGTAAGGCGACGCGGGGTTTTTTAGGGGGTGGAATGAGCGAGGAAGAGGAGGCCTGGGGAGCAGAGGTCAGGGGACAGGGAACGGTGTCCCCGACCTGTGGGAAGCGTGGGGACAGAGGCTGCGTCCCGACCTGCAGGAAGCGAGGGGCAGGGAACGGTGTCCTCGACCAGCGGGAAGCGAGAGGACAGGGGCGGCGTCCCCGACCCGTGGGAAGCAAGCGGGTAGGGGCGGCGTCCCTGACCTGTGAAAAGCGAAGGGACAGGGGAGGCGTCCCCGACTGGTGGGAAGCGAGGGGACAGGGACTGCGTCCCCGACCTGCCGAGAGCGAAGGGGCGGGGGGCGGCGTCCCTGACCGCTGGGAAGCGAGGCGGCGGCCGCCAGGAGGAGGCGCCTGAAGGAGACTCACCGTTCTAGTGCGCGGGGAGGCCGAACCAGGAGGGCAGGGCTCCCCCACCAACCGCACGACTCCGCTCAGCCAAGGCGCTGGTAGAGGACGGACACAGACACTGCGCGCCGAGACGAGGCTGCTTGGACGGCAAACTCTGGATCCAGTGGGAGCCTTCGCCACCTTCGCTGGCCGCCCGCAGGCCAAGCCCCAGCTGCGGACGCCACTGCTTCCGCCTTCTCTGCTGGCTGCGGGGAGCGAGGGGCAGGGAGCGCGCCGGGGAGGAGACAGAGCGGCCGAGTTCGGAGAGAGTGCCCCCTGGCGGTGATCCTCCAGGCGGACTGTGGCGCGGGCCGGGCGGCGCCCCCAGCCCCGCAGCCTGGCTTTCTTCCTGCTCGGGTGTCCCACCTGGGAATTCGTTGCACCGCACAGCCGAACCCGAGTGTGTCAATGGGTGTGTGTTGGAATGAGGATGGCGACGAGAAGATCCCTCCCGGAATAACTTAATTTGGTGAGCAGTGGCGACAGTAGTAATCCCAAACTGCGCTTTTATAGCACCCCTCTCCAAGCAGGAGAAAACCCCAGCTGGGCTAGATCGCTTGACCTTCAGGAATTCTTAAACCCCTCCCCAGCTCCACCCTCCTTGCCCAGGAAGTTTCTGCGATCCATAGAACCCTCTATTATTACCTGCTCTTCCCCTTCATCCGGTCCAAGGGAGTCAGCCCTTGCCTTAAATATTTCTTTGAATTTCCTGCCAAGAACACCAGCGCTTTGTCTTTCTCTGTCATGGGAAAACTATTTTAAATTCCCTGTTTAACTGGTCATAAACGTCTAGAGAATGTACCACGCGTTTTGCTGGAGAAGCACAAAAGAGTTTCATCCACCTCTGCATATTTGGTTCATCGTCCACCTCTTAGGGGAGGTTTTCCAGGATAGTAGTCATGCGTATGTATCCTGAAGCCAGAATGCTTGGTTCCAATCCGGTTTTTCCTACAATAAATGTGTGATTCAGGTAAAATACTTAATCTGTACTTGTTTCAGTTTTCTCATCTCGTATTAACATGGGGATAATAATAGTATCTACCTCACAGGGTTGTTGGAAGGATGAGATAAAATATGTAAAGAAATTATTTAAAACTATCTGGCCAGGCACAAATAGGCTCATGCCTATAATCCCAGTACTTTGGGAGGCTAAGGCAGGAGGATCACTTGAGGCCAGGAATTTGAGACCAGCCTGGGCAACATAGTGAGACCCCATCTTTACACAAAATTTAAAAATTACCTGGGTGTGGTGGTGCATATCTGTAGTCTCGGCTACTCTGGAGGCTGAGGTGGGAGGATGGCTTGAGCCCTGGCAGTCAAGGCTACAGTAAGCCATGATTGCACCACTGCATTCCAGCCTGGGTGACAGAGTGAGACCCTGTCTCAAGGAACAAACGAACAAACAAATAAACCCAAAACTAGGACATAGTATGGGCTCAATAAATGTTACCAATACTATATGTCCTACTTTCTGGCTGCCAATATTCATTAAAAATGCTTCTCTTTTTAAGAAGAATTTATCACTGGTTCTCAGGTTCTGTCAACCCCCTTTTAAAAGATTGTATTTTGAAACACTTAAGACATAAAAAGAGCACAAACATCTGTGTGCTCACCACCCAGCTTTAAAAAATAAAACATTGCCAGCCTTTGTGTATCCCTCCCTAGAAGCTCCTCTTAAAAATTAAATCTCTTATGGGATGGAAGAAAAGATCATTATATGAAATTGAGAGCTGGAGAAAAGGAAGAGCAAGAGAATCAGAGTTCCCTCCACTTCTTAGTGTGAGCTCTGGGGCAGGTTACATAACCTCCATGAACTACAATGACCAAAAACTATAAAAAAGGGGATAATGTCTACCTTACCAGGCTTTTGTCAGTATAAAATAATAAAAATCTATTGTGAGAGACTCCAGCACCAGGCTTTCAAAAAGATTAGGTGTTCTGTGTATGTTTCTTTACATTGTTTTCATAAGTGCCCTCAAGGGGCCTTTTCCTACTCCTTCAAATCCAATTTATTCAATATAGGAGAGAGTTTTAGTGCTCATCCATGCCTTGGGCACACAGGAAACTTACAAATACCATTTCCCTTTGCAATCAGGCAGGGCCACGTGACTAGTTCTGGCCTGTGAGCTATGACGAGAAGGATGCATATCATTCCTAGGTCAAAGCGTTTTATTTTCATTGCAAGACTGTTTCCCCTGTGTGCAACCAAGGAGCAAAGGGCAACTACAAGAGGGAAGAGATGTATCACTCAGTTGATGTATGAAGGGCAGTTGCCTTGGAAAGTCAATCCACCTGCATTGGACTTACGAGAGCAGGAAACAAACGCCTGTTATTTTAAGCCATTGAGATATTGGGATTGTCTTTTCTGCTGCATAGCTAAGCCTACTTTATGCACAGTTCTTTCTTGAATTCTTTCCTGATACTCGAAATAAGAAAGCCAAAGTTCTACTCCTGCTTCTGACTCTCATTGAAATTGGGACCTGGTCAGATGTCCTTATCTATAGAGTTGTAATGAAATCTATCCTGTCTTCTTTTCAGAGCTGTTATGAGTTCAAATGAGGTCATATGGAAAGATACCTTGCAAACTAGGAAGTCCTACGCAGATGGAAATAATTGAATATTCCTATTAGTAAAGTTACCTATATATAGCAACCACAATGATCAGGTTTCCTGAAAAGCTGCTATTAGATTGGTGCAAAAATAATTGTGGTCTTTGCCTTTACTTTTAATGGAAAAAATGCCAATTACTTTTGTACCAACCTAATAATTTAAAATATTTTGTCCAGTTGTCCTTATAAGTAAATCAAACATGAATAAAGATATAGTCTCCATATCTTCTATAGTTTCAATGCGTCCCCTAAATTTCATGCGTTGGAAACTTGATCCCCAATGTGGTGGTTTTGGGAGGTGGGACCTAATGAGAGGCATTTGGGTCGTGGAAGGACACTCTTCATGAATGGATCAATGCCATTATCATGCGAGTGAATTCGTTATTCTGGGAGTAGGTTCCTTATAAAGGGACAAGTTTGGTTCAGCCCCGTCTTTCTCTCCATCTCTTTCTCTCTTGCCTTCACTTTGCCCTCCAACATAGGATGACACAGCAAGAAGGCTCTTGCAAGATACCAGCCCCTTGAGTTTGGACTTCCCAGCCTCCAGAACTAAGCCAGTAAATTTCTGTTCATTATAAATTACCCAGTCAGTGTTATGCTGTTATAGCAGCACAGATTGAACTAAGACAATATCATTCCTGGGTTGCTGTTTCTCACATCCTATTTGAAAAATGAAATAGGAAATAGTTTTACACAGCTGAAGGTAGAGTTGGGAAGGTAAAACTTCCCCAAACATTTGGAAATAAGATGGCTCTCTACAAGTTGAATTATAAAATTATGACACAATTCATTAGCTCAAAATACACTTATTGAACAACCATTATAAGTGTGTGTGGCAGCCTGCCTTGAAGATGGTATTTATGCCCACGTGTAGTTTGCTTCCACAATACATAGGGCTGCCTCATGTAACAGTATATTAGTCTGTTCTCACACAGCTGATAAAGACATACCTGAGACTGGGTAGTTTATAAAGTAAAAGAGGTTTAATGGACTCACAGTTCCACATGACTGGGGAAGCCTCACAATCATGGTGGAAGGCAAAAGGCATGTCTTACATGGCAGCAGACAAGAGAGAGAATGAGATCTAAGTGAAGGGGGTTTCCCTTTATAAAACCATCAGATCTTGTGAGACTTATTCACTACTACAAGAACAGTATGGGGGAAACTGCCCCTGTGATTCAGTTATCTCCCACTGGGTCCCTCCCACAACACGTGGAAATTAGGGGAGCTACAATTCAAGATGAGATTTGGGTGGGGACAGAGCCAAACCATATCAAACAGGATATTGTGGAAATGACGGAATGTGCCTCCCTAGACTGGGCTATAGAAGACATTGTAGCTTCTGTCTTGCTCTCTCTTATTTGCTATGAGGGAAAAGCCCTGCCCTGTCCTGAGGACACCCAAGTAGCCCTTTAGAAAGGCTGCTGAGCAACTGAGCCCTCTTGCCAATAGCCAGACGATTGCTGAGGCTTTCTGCCAAAGCCTTGTGAGTGAGTCATCCTGGAAGTGGATCTTCCAGCCCCAGTCAAGCCATCAGATGACATCTTGACTGCAATCTCACAAGAGACCCTAAGCTGGAACCTACAAAAACTGTGATATAATAAATGTTGTCTTAAGCTCTAAAGTTTGGGTAATTTGGTACACAGCAATAGATAATTAATAGAATGTGTTAGGCACTGTTCTTAGCCCAGGAGATACAGCAGTGCAGCAGTCCCCAAACATTTTGGAACCAGGGAGTGGATTTTTGGAAGACAGTTTTTCTACAGAGCAGAGTGGGGCAGAGGGATGGTTTTGGGTTGATTCAAGTGCATTACATTTATTGCGCACTTTATTTCTATTATCATTACATTGCACTATATAATGAAATAATTATACAACTCACCATAATGTAGAATCAGTGGGATTTCTGAGCTTGTTTTGCTGCAACTAGACAGTCCCATCTGGGGGTGATGAGAGACAGTGGCAGATCATCAGGCATTAAATTCTCATAAGGAGTGTGCAACCTAGATCCCTCACATGTGCAGTTCACGAAAGGGTTTGTGCTCTTGTGAGAATCTAATGCCACAGCTGATGTGGCAGAAGGTGGAGCTCAGGCAGTAATGTGAGGATGGGGAGTGGCTGTAAATACAGATGCAGCTTCATTCCCTCACTCACCACTCATCTGTGAAGGAGAGATTTAAACTAAATACCTGAGTGATGGTTTCTGCATGCAAAGATCTTTCAGCAGAGTGGTCCATGCAGAGGGAACACCTATTGCAAAGGCCCTAAAGCTGAAATAAGCTACATTTATAATCCAGAGCCTTAAAGTCAGTGTGGTTGAGGCAGGGAGAAGGAACTAAAGCAGCAGGCTTCAGATCAGAGTGGGCATACTCCTGAGGGGACACAAAACTTTCCAGAAGGTGTCTGTGCCCAGCTGTTTTAAGGAGGTGACACAACCTGGGGAGACTGTGTGTTCAGAGAAGAAACGCAACCTGGTACATGCGATCTGGACAAAAACACCTGAGAGTCAGAATCTTTCTTGTGCCAGAAGCAAGAATAAGAATGTAGATACGCTAACCTTTTATGAAAGTATAGACCAAGAAAGAATGAGGTAATTAAAAGGCGAAAGAGGAATTCGATATGATGGGACCTAGGCAAGGTCAGAGATCTAGTGTGGCAGCTGTTTGGAGGAGGAGGTGCCTTGGATCAAAATCTCCCCCTGGTTGCCCATTTTCAAAGGCAGGCATTTTGGAGATGGCCTGATGTCATAATCTTTGAGTTGTTAAATGTTACAATTGCTACCAGCAGTTAATGAAGCCAAAGAAGCACATGAAAGGATATTTCTGAATACAGGATTCTGGCCTTAAAATACACTGTAAGTGTCCTAAGTTTCTCAGCAGCCCCCACCATTCCACCCTCTTCTCCATCCTCCCCACTACCGTACTCCATCAACATGAGGGAAAGTGCTCAGAGCAGTGGAGGGGCAGGGCAGTGGGAGGGGGTGACAAAGAGGGAAGGGAAGGTGTGTGGACATGTGGATTTGTGCAGGGAGGCTCCCGGGGAGACTGTACACAGTAATGGCAGGCTTTGGAGATGCACCTTTGGTTGTCAACTGTCCAGGCTAGAAGCAGAGTCTGAGCCACCAGGAGGCAGAAGTTTAGTTTTAGAAATCACATTGAAATCTACAAAAGTTCTCCAAAATTTCCAAGACAACGAGTTTTCCTTGGTAAAGCCCATCTACTAGCAAGGAATACAAATATGTGCCCTCCTTCTCCGTTGTCTTCCCCAAATCCAATAAAAAACCTAGGCTTTTTTTGTGGTCACGCTCATTTTTCCTGCTCTTGGATAAAGGAATGAGTCTATTTTTTTCTTAATTTTGAAGAAAGGGGAAGGTGGGCACATATCCACTGCATTGGAGCCAGTTTTGTTCTTAATTTTGCCGCTGTTCATCAAGCAATGTTGAGATGATAAATTCACCCAATTAACTGCTTTCCTTGAGGGAAAAAATGTACCAGCCAGAGGATGTAAGTATCTGATCTACTTGTGAATTATAGTTTTAATGCAAATGAATTGCTTTTGTCTGATTTGCCTATATGTTTCTTGTGAGCCGAGTTAGTGCCCAGACACATGGTGTGGTAAAAATCACTGTTGTGTTTTTTGTTTGTTGGTTTGTTTGTTTTTTTGAGACGGAGTCTCGCTCTGTCGCCCAGGCTGGAGTGCAGTGGCGCGATCTCCGCTCGCTGCAAGCTCCGCCTCCCGGGCTCACGCCATTCTCCTGCCTCAGCATCCCGAGTAGCTGGGACTACAGGCGCCCGCCACCACGCCTGGAGAATTTTTTTGTATTTTTAGTAGAGACGGAGTTTCACCGTGTTAGCCAGGATGGTCTCGATCTCCTGACCTCGTGATCCACCTGCCTCGGCCTCCCAAAGTGCTGGGATTACTGGCGTGAGCCACCGCGCCCAGCCGGCAGATTCAGTTTTTGAACTGAGCTAAAAGTCAGATTAATTCACCGAAGTAAGTACTACCTTATGAATTCTCTTTGTACCTTCCCTTCTGGACACATTTTTGAAAATTACTAAAATCACCCCAAACCTGAAATAAAGCAAAAGGATGCCTACATGTCCTTTCAGTATTATTGCTTAACATGTTCACCTAATAAATATTTATCTATGTTGGAGCATGTGCCTTTGTTTGACTTTGCTACTTACTGCTGGAATTACAGGTGTTAACCACTGAACCCGGCCCAAAAACGTATATTTAAGCTTTTGGTTTATCTGTATTTTGAAACAATTGGAGGTTTATCGTTTAGGAAGTGTCTGAATTTAAAAGCCTGGTTTGTGTATATTGCTGATGGTTGCTAGGTGTGGAGGCTCTCGCAGCAGCAGCGAAAGGAGAGAATCTGAGGCAGGACAGGAGGAAGTGTCCCAAACTGAGGTTTGAACTTGGTGGGAAAAACAGGATACTTGTTTCCAGTGTTCCTGATTCGAATTTGTGATATGATTTCCCAAAAAGGACACTAAATCACGATTAGTTTTCTTGAATTGCCCACAATGTAGTTGAAATAATGTCTTTTATGCAACAGTATTATTTTCAATAATTGCATATTTTCATCGCAAACATATTTTAGTTACAGTATGAACCAAATTGTCTCTTGTGAGGCTGACTGGAAAACTAATCCCAATTTATAACATTGTTTCTATAGAAGAATGTGTATTTTGTTCCAAACAACTAAATGCAAATGTTTTGGGGTGGGGGGAATATACAATTTTTTTAGAGCAGAGTCAGCCTACAATGAGGTTTATTAGAATGACAAAATTAGGTAAATTACAAATGGCTTTACTATCAAAGGAAATGGAAGGTTTGTGTAAGTGTGTGTGTGTGTTTGAGTGTGTTTTATTAATGCTATCATACCTTTTCGTTTTCTGTCACATATAGTAGGACACATATTCCAGACTCCTGCAATCTTTACCCACATTTGCCTCTCTCATATGGTGTGGTCGTTAATACCTTGTGATTATTAAGAACAAAATAACTTTCAATTTCAAATTGAACTTGCAGAATGCATCCACCAAAAAGTCACTTTCATCCCAATTCCTGCCAGAACAGAACAGATTTCTTTGTGGATTTACTAAGTAGAACATTGCTTTAACAAACAACATGAGAGTGTTCGCTTTTCTTTTTAAATTTTATTATTATTATACTTTAAGTTTTAGGGTACATGTGCACAACGTGCAGGTTTGTTACATATGTATACATGTGCCATGTTGGTGTGCTGCACCCATTAACTCGTCATTTAGCATTAGGTATATCTCCTAATGCTATCCCTCCCCCCTCCCCCCACCCCACAACAGTTCCCGGTGTGTGATGTTCCCCTTCCTGTGTTCATATGTTCTCATTGTTCAGTTCCCACCTATGAGTGAGAACATACAGTGTTTGGTTTTTTTGTCCTTGCGATAGTTTGCTGAGAATGATGGTTTCCAGTTTCATCCATTTCCCTACAAAGGACATGAAACTCATCATTTTTTATGGCTGCATAGTATTCCATGGTGTATATGTGCCACATTTTCTTAATCTAGTCTATCATTGTTGGACATTTGGGTTGGTTCCAAGTCTTTGCTATTGTGAATAGTGCTGCAATAAACATATGTGTGCATGTGTCTTTATAGCAGCATGATTTATAATCCTTTGGGTATATACCCAGTAATGGGATGGATGGGTCAAATGATATTTCTAGTTCTAGATCCCTGAGGAATCGCCACACTGACTTCCACTATAGTTGAACTAGTTTACATTCCCACCAACAGTGTAAAAGTGTTCCTATTTCTCCACATCCTCTCCAGCACTTGTTGTTTCCTGACTTTTTAATGATCGCCATTCTAACAGGTGTGAGATGGTATCTCATTGTGGTTTTGATTTGCATTTCTCTGATGGCCAGTGATGATGAGCATTTTTTCATGTGTCTTTTGGCTGCATAAATGTCTTCTTTTGAGAACTGTCTGTTCATATCCTTAGCCCACTTTTTGATGGGGTTATTTGGTTTTTTTCTTGTAAATTTGTTGGAGTTCATTGTAGATTCTGGATATTAGCCCTTTGTCAGATGAGTAGATTGCAAAAATTTTCTCCCATTCTATAGGTTGCCTGTTCACTCTGATGGTAGTTTCTTTTGCTGTGCAGAAGCTCTTTAGTTTAATTAGATCCCATTTGTCAATTTTGTCTTTTGTTGCCATTGCTTTTGGTGTTTTAGACATGAAGTCCTTGCCCATGCCTATGTCCTAAATGGTATGAGTGTTCGCTTTCTTATAACCAAGTAATGTTCATGTTCTGAATGAGCTAATGATACTACTTTCCTGAAGAAGATTCTGTAGGGGATATCAATTATGTTAAATAAATAATGTCCTTTGAAGATTTGATATATGCCCATTGGAAGATTTCTAAAATGGTTATTTGAGGGTGATAATGGTGGTAATTTTTTCTTAAGGCATTTATTAAGGACCATTTACATTTTTTTTTGTTGTTTTCTGCACCAGTAAGGTAGGGATATAAAGGGTCAATATTACAAGTCAATGGGCAACAAAGAATTTTAGCCATGACCAGACAGGTGTGTTTTCTAATGGGAAATCCCTCAAAACTAAGGTAGAGAAGTGCCAAAAATCGTATTCCGGAGAGGAAATAAAATATTAGACATTGGAACACAGTTGGAAACTGAAATTCAACAGCTTTAGTTGCATTGCTCTTAAAGTCACTTATATTTACTTCAAACACATCAAGCATTTTTATTTGTCATCAAATGTTTCAGGATAATATTAAAGAATGTACAGTTTCCTATCTATACAACTGCACTTATAGTAAATTAACTATTCCTCTAAGGTTGAACATTAGGTTATTTCTTCTACCTTTGCATTTATAATGTGCCAATGAACTTTTTTTGCATGAATCTTTGTCAGCATTTTAAATTATGACTTTAAGAAGGATTCCTTCAAGGGAAATTGGTAGGCCAAAGGCTGTGAATATTTATGACTCCTGTTACAAATGACTTCCCAGAAAGGTATCAGTTTGTGTTCCATCTGGCTCTTGGTATCATCCTATTTGTTCTTTCCAGGATTCTAAGATTGAGTATTGTCTTAAAAACCAAATGAACATAACCCCTCCACGCCCTCCCACCAACCCACACCCACAACTTTAAAAAGAAATTCAAATTCACAGACAAGAGAAAATAGTCATGTTACAGAAGATTATAAAATAAAAAGTAAAAATGTCCTCCTTAACATTTTGAAACTCAGCTCTACTTTCTGAAATAGCCACCGTGATTGGAATTTAAATTTAAATTGACTACCAATTTAAAAATTTAAAACATAGTCTTGCTGTTTATGTAAGAACTACATTGGGAAAGGAAGGAAGAGCTTACCCACCAGGGCTTGAGGACCACTATCCCACAGTTCCTAAATTCATCAACATCACAAGCTTTCTTTTGACAGGAGTGCAATCTGAAGCCACTTCAAAGAATCACCTTGTTTTCTTGCTGACATTGCAGTGGGGACGATGAGACCCAAGGACATTCAGCCAAGAGGGAAATGTGAGTCATATGTTCACAAACTGGATAAAGGCTATTTATTTTTTAATTTTTTTTTTTTAGACAAAGTCTTGCTCTGTTGCCCAGGCTGGAGTGCAGTGGCGTGATCTTGGCTCACTGCAACCTCCATCTCCTGGGTTCAAGTGATTCTCCCGTCTCAGCCTCCCGAGTAGCTGGGACTACAGGCTCGTGTCACCACGCCCAGCTAATTTTTTGTATTTTTGTATTTTTGGAAGAGACGGGGTTTCCCCATGTTGGCCAGCTGGTCGCAAACTCCTGACCTCAGGTGTTCCACCCGCCTCGACCTCCCGAAGTGCTGGGATTACAGGCATGAGCCATGGCGCCTGGCTGAAAAAGGCTATTCAAATGTAGTGATAACATATATTTGAAAAAGGTTACAGTATCTATCCAGTAAAACATATCAGATATATAAAAGGGTTACAAACTTTATCTAAGAAAGTGAAACATTAGTGTTATGAAAAGGAATTGCTGTGTTTGTCCAGGCCAGTGAGACATTAAAGATTACTTTGTTAGTTGAGATCTTAACTCTTAAAATATGGGACAAAGTTGATAGCTATTGGTTATGGAGGCTGCTTTCCTTTCCTTCTTTCATCCTACTTCCCTTTCTCCAGTTTATAATTTCTCAATGGTTTGAGAGTAAGGGGCATGTTATCCTTAAATATTTCATTACACTAATTATATGGTTTGGCCTGTGTCCCCACCCAAATCTCATCTTTTTTTTTTTTTTTTGAGTTGGAGTTTTGCTGTTTTTGCCCAGGCTAGAGTGCCATGGCATGATCTTGGCTCACTGCAACCTCCGCCTCCTGGGTTCAAGTGATTCCCCTGCCTCAGCCTCCTGAGTAGCTGGGACTACAGGCATGTGCCACCATGCCTGGCAAATTTTGCATTTTTGGTAGAGACGGGGTTTCTCCATGTTGGTCAGGCTGGTCTCAAACTCCTGACCTCACACGATCCGTCCTCCTCAGCCTCCCAAAGTGCTGGGATTACAGGCTTGAGCCACTGCGCCTGGCCCAAATCTCATCTTTCAGCTCCCACAATTTCCATGTGTTGTGGGAGGGACCCGGTAAAAGATGATTGAGTCATGGGGGCAAGTCTTTCCTGTGCTGTTCTCATGATAGTGAATGAGTCTCACTAAATCTGATGATTTTAAAAATGGGAGTCTCCCTGCCCAAACTCTCTTCTCTTGTCTGCTGCCATGTGAGATATGCCTTTCATCTACCATGATTGTGAGGCCTCCCCAGCTAAGTGGAACTGTGAGTCCAATAAACCTCCTTCTTTTGTAAATTGCTCAGTCTTGGGTATACCTTTATCAGCAGTGTGAAAAAGGACTATTACAGTAAATTGGTACCAGCAGAGTGGGTGCTGCTGAAAAGATATCTGAAAATGGGGAAGCAACTTTGGAACTAGATAACAGGGAGAGGTTGGAACAGCTTGGAGGGCTCAGAAGAAGACAGGAAAATGTGGGAAAGTTTGGAACTTCCTAGACACTTGTTCAATGGCTTTGACTAAAATGCTGATAATGATATGGATAATGTAATCCAGGCTGAGGTGGTATCAGATGGAGATGAGGAACTTGTTGGGAACTGGAGAAAAGGTGCCTCTTGTTATGTTTTAGCAAAGAAACTGGATGCATTTTGCCCCTGCCCTAGAGATTTGTAGAACTTTGAACTTAAGAGAGATGATTTAGGGTATCTGGTGGAAGAAATTTCTAAGCAGGAAAGCATTCAAGAGGTGGCTTGGGTGCTGTTAAAGGCATTCAGTTTTATAAGGGAAGCAGAGCATAAAAGTTTGGAAAATTTGCTGCCTGACAATGAAATAGAAAAAAAAAATCCCATTTTCTGAGGAGAAATTTAAGCCAGCTGCAGAAATTTGCATAAGTAATGAAGAGCCGAATGTTAATCTCCAAGACAATGGAAAAAATATCTCCAGGGTATGTCAGAGGCCTTCGCAGCAGCCCCTCCCATCACAAGCCCAGAGGCCTAGGAGGAAAAAGTGGTTTTGTGGTCCCGGCCCAGGGCTCCTGTGCTGTGTGCTGTCTTGGGACTTGGTGCCCTGTGTCCCAACTGCTCCAGCCATGACTAAAGGGGTCCAAGGTATGGCTCGGGCTGTGGCTTCAGAGGGCGCAAGCCCCAAGCCTTGGCAACTTCCATGTGGTGTTGAGCCTGCGAGTGCCCAGAAGTCAAGAATTGTGGTTGGAGAACCTCTGCCTAGATTTCAGAAAGATGTATGGAAACGCCTGGATGCCCAGGCAGAAGTTTGCTGCAGGGGTGGGGCCCTCATGGAGGACTTCTGCTAGGGAAGTGTGGAAAGGCAATGTAGGGTCAGAGCCCCCACATAGAGTTCCTACTGGGGCTCTGCCTAGTGGAGCTGTGAGAAGAGGGCCACCATCCTCCAGACCCCAGAATGGTAGATCTACTGACAGCTTGCACTGTTTGCCTGGAAAAGCTACAGACATTCAACACCAGCCTGTGAAAGCAACTGGGAGGGGCTGTACCCTGCAAAGCCACAGGGGCAGAGCTGCCTAAGACCATGAGTACCCACCTCTTGCATCAGTGTGACCTGGATTTGAGACATGGAGACAAAGGAGATCATTTTGGAGCTTTAAGATTTAACTGCCCTGCTGGATTTTGGATTTGCATGAGCCCTTTAGCTCTTTTGTTTTGGCCAATTTCTCCCATTTGGAACAGGTGTATTTACCCAATGACTGTACCCCCATTGTACCTAGGAAGTAACTAACTTGCTTTTGATTTTATAGGCTCATAGGTGAAGGGACTTGCTTTGTCTCAGATGAGACTTTGGACTGTGGACTTTTGAGTTAATGCTGAAATGAGCTGAGACTTAGGGGGACTATTGGGAAGGCATGATTCATTTTCAAATGTGAAGATACGATATTTGGGAGAGGCCAGGGGTGGAATGATATGATTTGGCTCTGTGTCCTCACCCAAACCTCATCTTGTATCTCCCATAATTCCCACGTGTTATGGGAAGGACCTGGTGGGAAATGATTGAATCATGGGGGCGGGTAGTTCTTGTGCTGTTCTTATAATAGTGAATAGGTCTCATAAGTTCTGACGGTTTTAAAAATGGGAGTTTCCCTGCACATGTTCTCTCTTTGCCTGCTGCCATCCATGTAAGATGTGACTTGCTCCTCCTTGCTTTCCACCATGATCATGAGGCCTCCCCAGCCATGTGGAACTGTAAGTCCAATAAACCTCTTTCTTTCATAAATTGCCCAGTCTTGGGTATGTCTTTATTAGCAGTGTGAAATGGGCTAATACAACTAAGAACAAGGAGAGTTTTCTATATAACTATAATATAATTATCACACTTGAAAACTTAACTTACATAATAAACATTATCCAATACACACCCATATTTAAATTTCTCCAAATGTACTTCAAATATTTGTTAGAGATGGATGTTTGGCTTGGGCTTCCATCCCGGATCCAGTCCAAGTTCACAATTGCATTTGCTGGCCATTGCATAATTTTTTTAAAAAAATTACACTTTCAATTTTGAGATCATTGTAAATTTACATGCAATTATAAGATATAAGAAATTCCATTTATGCTTTACTCGGTTTCTACCAATGGTAACATCATGCAAAACTGTAGGCTAATATGACAATATCTTGACATTCATACAGTCAAGATATAGAATATTTCTGCTATCACCAGGATCCATCCGTCATGTTGCCCTTTTATACCACACCCACTCTCTCCTCCTCTATCCACCTTTAAACCCCCCAAACTACTAATCTGTTCTCTATTTCTATACTTTTATCATTTCAAGAATTTTATATGAATGGAATAATATAGTGTATAGATTTTTGGACTGGGGTTGGCTATGAACATTCCTGTGGCAGGTTTCTGTGTGAACATAAATTTTCATTTTTCTGGGTTAAATCCAGGAGTGTAATTACTGAGTCATGGTAATTGCATTTTAACTTTGGAGGAGGGGGGAGGGATAGCATTAGGAAATATACCTAATGTAAATGATGAGTTAATGGGTGCAGCACACCAACATGGCACATGTATATATATGTAACAAACCTGCATGTTGTGCACATGTACCCTAGAACTTAAAGTATAATAAAAAAAAAAAAGAAAAGAAAAGAAATGGCAAAGTAGTTATTTAGAGTGTCTCTACCAAGGTACATTCCCACCAGCAATGTATAAGTGATTTAGCTTTATTTTAGACATCTGATAAATATGTAGTTATATCTCAATGTGGTGTGTGCTATTTTTTTTTTTTTTTTCAGACAAGGTCTCACTCTCTTACCCAGGCTGGGATGCAGTGATGCAATCAGTGCACACTGCAGGCTCCACCTTCCCTCGCTCAGGTGATCCTTCCACCTAAGCCTCCCAAGCAGCTGGGAATACATGCACACACCACCACATCTGGCTATTTTTTGTAATTTTTGTAGAGACAGTGGGTCTCACTATGTTGCCAGAGTTGGCCTCAAACTCCTGGATTCAAGCGACCCACCCACCTCGGCCTTCCAAAGTGCTGAGGATTACAGGCATGACCCACCACACCTGGCCTCAATGTAGTTTTAATTTGCATTTTCCTAATGGCTAAAAATGTGTAACATCTTTTCATGTACTTATTTGCCATCCATATATTCTATTTGGCAAAAATGTCTTTTCATATCATTTGCCCATTTTCTAATTGGATTGTTAGTCTTTTTTACTGTGATTCATTTTGAGTTTTTGTATTAAGAGATGAGACTTAGGTCAAGTCTTTTTCTTCCTTCCTTCTTTCTTTTCTTCCTTCCTTCCCTCTCTTTCCTTCCTTGTTCTTTTTTCCCTTTCTTTCCTTTCTCCCTACATCCCTTCCCCTCTTTCTGTCTCTTTTTCCTTCTTTTCTGTGTGATATCCAATTGCTCTAGTACCATTTGTTTAAAAGGCTGTTTTTTCTCTATTGAATTGTTTTTGCACCATTGTCAAAAAAATTGGCTGTACTTATGTGGGTCTATTTCTGGTTTCTCAATTATTTTCATTGATTTTTATGTCTATCCCTCCACCAATGCTACAAAGTTGTGATTACTGTAGCTATATAATAAGTCTTGAAGTCAAGTAGATAAATTCTTCCTACTTTAGATTTTTAAACTTCCCTAAGCTCTTTTAGTTCGTTTACCTTCCATATAAATTTTAGAATAATATTGTCAATCTTAAACAATTCTTGCCAGTATTTTGGTAAGAATTGTGTTAGATTTGTGTATTAATTTGTGGGAGAATTCATACTTTTACTATATATGAATATTTCAGTCAATGAACATGGTATGTCTCAATTTATTTAGATCTTCTATGACTTCTTTCATCATCATTTTGTTGTTTTCAGAATGCAAATCCTTTACATGTTTCGTACGTGTTTTGTTAGATTTATAGCTAAGCTTTTTTTGAGCAATTTAAATGATATTACAAAAATAAATAAATCATTTTCCAGTGTGCACATTTTCATTGCTAGTATATTGAAATACAATTTATATTTTTAGTGGTTATCTTATGTTGCTTTGCTAAACTCACTTTTTAAATTCTAGGAGGGTTTTTTTGTGAATTCTATGAGATTGTCTATATAGACAATCATGTCATCTGCAAATAGAAACGGTTTCATTTCTTTGTGTTTTGTATGCTTTTCATTTCCTTTTCTTGCCTATTGAACTGGCTAGAACTTCTAACACTATGTTATATAAGAACACTGTAATTGTGACTTTTCTTGTCAGAGTTGTTAGAATGGTCGATTACATTAACTGGGTTTTGAATATTGAACTAGTCTTGCATCCTTGAGATAAATGTTGCAAAATTCTTCTCATATATTGTTGAAGTCTGTTTGCAAGTATTTTGTTAAGAATTTTTTTAAGTTCTGGGGTACATGTGCACAACGTGCAGGTTTGTTACATAGGTATACATGTGCCATGTTGGTTTGCTGCACCCATCAACTCATCAATTACATTAGGTATTTCTCCTAATGCTATCCTTCCCCCCTCCCCCCACCCCCGATAGGCCCCAGTGTGTGATATTCCCCTCCCTGTGTCCATGTGTTCTCATTATCCAACTGCCAATTATGAGTGAGGATATGTGGTGTTTGGTTTTCTGTCCTTGTGATAGTTTGCTGAAAATGATGGTTTCCAGCTTTATCCATGTCCCTGCAAAGGACATGAACTCATCCTTTTTTATGGCTGCATAGTATTCCATGGTATATGTGCCACATTTTCTTTATCCAGTCTATCATTTATGGACATTTGGGTTGGTTACAAGTCCTTGCTATTGTGAATAGTGCCACAATAAACATACGTGTGCATGTGTCTTCATAGTAGCATGATTTATAATCCTTTGGGTATATATCCAGTAATGGGATTGCTAGTTCAAATGGTATTTCTAGTTCTAGATCCTGGAGGAATTGCCACACTGTCTTCCACAATGGTTGAACTAATCTACACTCCCACCAACAGTGTAAAAGCATTCCTATTTCTCCAAATCCTCTCCAGCATCTGTTGTTTCCTGACTTTTTAATGATTGCCAGTCTAACTGGTGTGAGATGGTATCTCATTGTGGTTTTGATTTGCATTTCTCTAATGACCAGTGATGATGAGCATTTCTTCATATGTCTGTTGACTGCATAGATATCTTCTTTTGAGAACTGTCTGTTCATATCCTTTGCTCACTTTTTGATGGGGTTGTTTCTCTTTTTTCTTGTAAATTTGTTTAAGTTCTTTGTAGATTCTGGATATTAGCCCTTTGTCAGATGGATAGATTGCAAACATTTTCTCCTATTCTGTAGGTTGCCTGTCCACTCCAATGATAGTTTCTTTTGGTGTGCAGAATCTCTTTAGTTTAATTAGATCCCATTTGTTAAGTTTGGCTTTTGTTACCATTGCTTTTGGTGTTTTAGTCATGAAGTCTTTGCCCATGCCTATGTCCTGAATGGTATTGCCTAGGTTTCCTTCTAGGGTTTTTAACGTTTTAGGCCTTATATTTAAGTCTTTAATCCATCTTGAGTTAATTTTTGTATAAGGTGTAAGGAAGTGATCCAGTTTCAGCTTTCTGCATATGGCTAGCCAGTTTTCCCAGCACTATTTATTAAATAGGGAATCCCTTCCCCATTGCTTGTTTTTGTCAGGTTTGTCAAAGATCAGATTGTTGTAGATATGTGGTGTTATTTCTGAGGCCTCTGTTCTGTTCCATTGGTCTATATCTCTGTTTTGGTACCACTACCATGCTGTTTTGGTTACTGTAGCCTTGTAGTATAGTTTGAAGTCAGGTAGCGTGATGCCTCTAGCTTTGTTCTTTTTGCTGAGGATTCTATTGGCTATGCGGGCTCTTTTTTGGTTCCATATGAACTTTAAAGTAGTTTTTTCCAACTCTTTGAAGAAAGTCAGTGGTAGGTTGTTGGGGATAGCATTGAATCTATAAATTACTTTGGGCAGTATGGCCATTTTCATGATATTGATTCTTCCTATCCATGAGCATGGAATGTTTTTCCATTTGTTTGTGTCCTCTTTTATTTCCTTCAAGTTCTCCTTAAAGAGGTCCTTCACATCCTTTGTAAGCTGGATTCCTAGCTATTTTATTCTCTTTGTGGCAATTGTGAATGGGAGTTCACTCATGATTTGTCTCTCTGTTTGTCCATTATTGGTGTATTGGGATGCTCGTAATTTTTGCACATTGATTTTGTATCCTGAGACTTTGCTGAAGTTGCTTATCAGCTTAAGGAGATTTTGGACTGAGACAATGGGGTTTTCTAAATATACAATCATGTCATCTACAAAGAGGCTTAGACTCCCACACAATAATAGTGGGAGACTTTAACACCCACTGTCAATATTAGACAGATCAATGAGACAAAAAATTAATGATATTCAGGACTTGAACTCAGCTCTGCACCAAGTGGACCTCATAGACATCTACAGAACTCTCCACCCCAAATCAACAGAATATACATTCTTCTCAGCACCACATCACACTTATTCTAAAATTGACCACAAGGTTGGAAGTAAAACACTCCTCAGCAAATGTAAAAGAAAAGAAATCATAACAAACTATCTCTCAGACCACAATGCAATCAAATTAGAACTCAGAATTAAGAAACTCACTCAAAACCACTCAACTACATGGAAACTGAACCACCTGCTCCTGAATGACTACTGGGTACGTAACGAAATGAAGGCAGAGATAAAGATGTTCTTTGAAACCAATGAGAACAAAGACACAACGTACCAGAATCTCTGGGATTTGTTTAAAGAAGTGTGTAGAGGGAAATTTGTAGCATTAAGTGGCCACTAGAGAAAGCAGGAATGATCTAAAATCAACACCCTAACATAATCACAATTAAAAGAACTAGAGAAGCAAGAGCAAACCAATTCAAAACCTAGCAGAAGACAAGAAATAACTAAGATCAGAGCAGAACTCAAGGAGATAGAGACACAAAAAACCTTTCAAAAAAATCAATGAATCCAGGAGATGTTTTTTTTGAAAAGATCAACAAAATAGACCACTAGCAAGACTAATAAAGAAGAAAAGAGAGAAGAATCAAATAGACACAATAAAAAATGATAAAGGGGATATCACCACCGATCCCACAGAAATACAAACTGCCATCAGAGAATACTATAACCACCTCTGTGCAAGTAAACTAGAAAATCTAGAAGAAATGGATAAATTCCCAGACACATATACCCTCCCAAGACTGAACCAGGAGAAGTCGAATCTCTGTATAGACCAATAACAGGTTCTGAAATTGGGGCAATAATTAATACCTATCAACCAAAAAAGTCCAGGACCGGACGGATTCACAGCCAAATTCTACCAGAGGTACATAGAGGAGCTGGTACCATTCCTTCTGAAACTATTCCAATCAATAGAAAAAGAGAGAATCCTCCCTAACTCATTTTATGAGGCCAGCATCATCCTGATACCAAAACCTGGCAGAGACACAATAAAAAAAGAAAATTTTAGGCCAATATTCCTGAAGAACATCGATGTGAAAATCCTCAATAAAATACTGGCAAACCACATCCAGCAGTGTATCAAAAAGCTTTATCCACCATGATCAAGTCAGCTTCATCCCTGGGATGCAAGGATGGTTCAACATACGCAAATCAATAAACGTAATCCCTCACGTAAACAGAACCAACGACAAAAACCACATGATTATGTCAATAGGTATAGAAAAGGTCTTCGACAAAATTGAACAGCACTTCATGCTAAAAATTCTCAATAAACTAGGTATTGATGGAACGTATCTCAAAATAATAAGAGCTACTTATGACAAACTCACAGCCAATATCATACTGAATGGGCAAAAACTGGAAGCATTCCCTTTGAAAACCGGCACAAGACAAGGATGCCCTCTCTCGCCACTCCTATTCAATATGGTATTGGAAGTTCTGGCCATGGCAATCTGGCAAGAGAAAGAAATAAAGGGCATTCAATTAGGAAAACAGGAAGTCAAATTGTCTCTGTTTGCACATGACATGATTGTATATTTAAGAATTTTTTATCTGTATTCAGGAAGGATATTGATTTAGAATTTTCTTTATGTAATATCTTCATTTCATTTTGGTATAAGGTTAATATTGGCTTTACAGAATGAATTGGGAATGGTTTTTTTTTTCTCTTATTTTCCGGAAAAGATTGTGTACAATTGATGTCGATTCCTTATTAACTATTTGGTTGAATTCTTCAGTGAAACCATTAGTTCTGGAGATTACCTTTCTTAAAGTTCTTTAAAATTACAAATTCAGTTTCCTTAATAACTATGCAACTACTTAAATTATTTCATTTTGGGTTAACGGTGGCTGTTTATGTTTTTTGAGGAATTAGTCCATTTTCGTCTTAATTGTTAAATTTATATGTGCAGAGTTGTTTGTTTTTATTCCCTTATTTTGCTTTTTAAATCTGCAGGGTCTATACTGATATCCCTGTTTCATTCCTGACATTGGTAACTTATTACTTCTGTTTTTCCTTTGTTCATCTTGCAAGAAGTTTTGCAAATTGTGTCCATTTTATTGACATTTTCAAATAATGAGTCTTTGTTTTATTGATTTTCTATATAGGTATGCCTTTTCAATTTCATTGATTTCTGCTCCTCTTTTTATTACTTCTTTCCTTCTGCTTGCTTTGACTTTATTTTTCTCTTCTAGCTGTAGGTTCTTGAAGTAAGAGCTTACATTTTTTATTTGAGACTTTTTCTCTCTTCTAATATATGCATTTAGAGCTACAGATTTCCCTCTTATCACTGCTTTAGTTGTGTCCTATGAGTTATAAGTTGTATTCTCATTTTCATTCAGTCTAATGTATTTTTAAAATTTCTTTGAAATTTTTTCTTTGACCCACTGGTTACTTAGGAGTATGTTGTTTACTTTCAAAGTGTTTGGATATTTTTTTCTAACTTTTTATTATTGATTTCTAGTTTAACTTCATTTTAGTCAGAGAACGCACTTGATATGCTTTGATTCTTTGAAATTTGTCGAGTTTCTTTATGGTTTTTCTTGATATATTTTCCTTAGGGCCTTCAAAAGAATGTGTATTCTGCTGTTGTTGGATGGAGTGCTCTGTAAATGTTGTTTAGCTCTTACTTGTTGATGGTGTTGTTGAGTTCTTATATCCTTGCCAATTTTCTGTCTAGGTATTACATCAACTTCTCAGAGAAGGGTGTTAAAGTCTTCAACCATAACTGTGGATTTGTCTATTTCTCCTTTCAGTTTTTTCAGTTTTTGTTTCACTTATTTTTCAACACATTGTTTGATGCATACACATTTGTTTGGTGCATACACATTTAGAATTGTTGCATCATCTTGATAGATTAAGGGTTTTTTTTTGCATTATATAAGCTCCCTCTTTGTGTTTGGTAATTTTCTTTACTTTGCATCTATTTTATCTGCTATTAATATAGCTACTTACTCTTGCTTTCTTTTGGTTAATGTTTACATGAAAAATTTCCCATTATTTTACTTTCAACCTGTCCTTATTATTATATTTGAAATGGGTTTCATATGGACAACATATAGTTGAATGTTTTTTAATCCACTTTGTCAATCTCTGTCTTGTAATTGGTATATTAAGGCCATTTTCTTAATGTAATTATTGGTATGTTATGGCTTAAGTCTGCTATTTTATTAGTTGTTTTATCTCTGTGTTTCATTTCTCTGTTTTCTTTTTTCTGTGAATTGCTTAAACATTCGTTAGAATTCCATTTTGATGTTTTATATAGTGGTATGTCTTTTTGTATAGATTTTTAACGTTTTTGCTCTAGGCATTACATTATATATATGTATATATATGATTTATATAAACAGTCTATACAGTCTACTGGTATCATTTTACTAATTTGAGCGTAATGTAGAAAACGTAACTCCTTTACATTTCACCATCAAACATAATTTTGGTGATGCTTTCGCCATCAAACATAATTTAGAAAACGCAAGAGGAGAAGGGAAGTCTATTGTATTTACTGATATTTTAGTTACCATGTGTTTTTTTCTGATGGTACAAGATACTTTGCCATTTCCTTTCTGTTTAAAGAACTTCCTGTGGCCATTCAATAACCTTTTTTCTTATCAAATGACGTGAGCTAGAAACTTTCAAAATATTTTATACTTTATTGCAATGCAAATGGAAGTCTTCCTTCTTCCTTCTGACTTTAATGGAATGCTTCTAATTTTTTTTTCCATTTAGCATGATGTTGCGTTTTAGATTAAGGAATGCTGATATATTTTTATCCACAAAATACCTTTTCATTTCTTAATTCTCCATTTATCTCTCAGGAAAGTAATGTGATTTCTAGGGCAGTTATATATATTTCTTTTTAAGATTATTTCTAGATATTTCATGTTTTTATTGCATTTATTACTGAGATATACTCCCCAAATATATCTCCTTTTGAATTTTCTTTCAATATATTATTTTGAATAGAAAATCACTAGAAATATTGGAAAAAAAGAAAGATATGGAGAAAAAACTGAAAGTTATTTTTAATATTCTAAACTAGAGATACTATGTGTTAATATTTTATGTGTTAATATTTTATCTCTGTCATTCCAGTCTGTCTGGAATATTTTTATGTGTTTTGTGGGAAGTATTATATGTGTTAATTTTATGTTGATCATTTTTAAATATCTATATTTATATTTTACAAAAATGGTACCACATTAGTATATGATATACTCTTTCCATCTAGCAATATATTATGAACACTTTTCTATTTCATTCAATAGCATAATTTTAATAACTTCATCTATGACAGTGCTTTCCAGAAATTTGTCTCTAGTACAGAAATCCACCTTATCTGTGGTTTTGCTTTCTGTGGTTTCAGTTATCCATGATTAACCGTGGCCCAAAAATATTAAATAGAAAATTCCAGAAATAAACAATTTATAAATTTTAAATTGCACACTGTTCTGAGAAGTGTGATGAAATCTTACCTGGTCCCTTTGCTCAGCTTATTTGCTGCTGTATATGCTGCCTGCCCTTCAGTCACTTAGCCAGCCACCTGTGTTATGAGTTTAAAAGATCTCAAGAAGAAAAGTAGGTACAGTACAATAAGATATTTTGAGAGAGAGAGAGAGAGACAGACAGCACATTTACATTAACTTTTATTACAGTACATTGTTATAGTTCTATTTTATTATTAGTTTATTGTTAATATCTTACTATGCCTAATGTATAAACTTTATCATAGGTATAAATGTATAGGGTAAAACTGCTGTATATATTCTGTTGCATATGCAAGAAGCTATTATAGTTGCAGAACAGTTTTCTGGGAGGTTGGACCAGCCCAATTGTTCCCTTTTTTTCACGTGTAGTTCTCAAGAGTAGCTGCAGAATGTGCTAGGAATGCAACATCCTGAGATAAGAGGGAACTAGCCACAACAACCTCGGTTCTGTTCTGGTTCCCCATAGAAACAGGATGTCCTTCAACACGTAGGCCCAGCATGTGATGTGACCCCATGGTATAAAACCCGAGGAGGGGGTGCTACTTTCTGGGGTCCCTCAGCTGCTGTGCTAGTTGAGTACTCGTAAATAAGATTCCATTTGCCCTGGGCAACTTTCCTGAGCCTTGCGAGATCAGCTTACAATGAATCCTCAGCTTATATTGCCCTTGTTGCCCATCTGTAAGTAATAAACCCAATTCATGTAACGGGTGTGTGCCTGTGTTCTGTCGAATTGAACTGAGGCATATTGGTAAGCAGTGCACAGTGCACCTACTTAACATTCAGGGGCATTAATTTTATATGCCCTTTACTAAACTTTTGTGAACTCAAAGACTTTTCAGTTTATTCATAAAATGTCTAAATAGGCAACCAAATGGAAGAAGAATAATGATAATTTTGTCTCTTCCTTTTCATGGATTATTTTTTAGTTCTGTTTCATGTCATGATCTCAGCTAAAATGTTTAGACAATGTTGAATAATGGTGAAAGTGTTTTGTTTCCCTTATCTCCCTCTGTTTTTTAAATGGGGATGCCTCTATTCTTTCCTTGTTAAGTAGTATTCTGGCTGATGTTTGATTTGCGATAGTAATCATTATTATTGATATTGAGATAAGCATCCTTCACTTTTGATTAAGGTGATCGTATGTATGATATTAATTATATTTAATTATTTATTAGTTACTAACAGATGTCCTAATATCCATCCAAGCATCCAGATAAAATTTCCACTTTTTAAAGTAATATTACTTTTTTCAGGTTTTGGTAAAGGCTTACACTTGATTCCTGAAGGTATTTTTAGCTCTTTAAATAACCTAAATCAAATGAATGTAGCATTATAATTAGCTTTTCCTAAGAATTTTGAAAAACTCATTGGTTAAAAAAAATATTGATCCCTGAAGACTTTTTGGAGGTAATTTTTAAATATTTATATCTATTTCATATTTATAATTATTCCATAATTGCTCTCTTCAGACAGGCTACTTCTTAAGCAATTTAAATTATAAGCAATTCAAATTATAGTCTTAGAAATTTTTCTACATTAATAAAATTTTCAGTTTCATTACCAAATAATTTTGTATGATACAGCAGGAACAGGCAAGATCCTTGCTTTCATGAAAAGTACGCTCTAGTGGAGAAAGAGAAAAAGAAAGCAACAAGAAACAAACAAAGCTTATTCATACAATAATAAACACCGTTTTGCTCACCAATTATTTCTAGTTTTCCTTCTGGCCATGGGAAGGCTGTACTGTCCTGCCCCCTTGGAGTTAGGTGTGGTCACATGACTTGTTTTCCCAGTGAAACGTGAGCAGAAGTCACATGTGTCACTTTAGGATGTACAATTTGCCATACTGGATATTTTCCACTGCCATGGCAATCCTCACTTCTGCCACATTTTATTGACCAAAGCATGTCAGAAGGCCAATCTAGAATCAAGGAGTGGGGAAATAGATTCTACTTCTTGTTGAGAGGATGTGCAAAGTTACATTGCAAAAGATGTAGGGAAGGGTGAAGAATTGTGACTGTTTTGCAATCAATGTGTCTACCACAATTATTTTCTCCTTTCATTTTTCTTTCCTTTTTAAAATTTATTTAATTTTTAAGCCTTTAAAAATTTTCAGTTGTATGCCTATTTCATTTATATTTTAAAAACTTATACATTTAGGTCTATCAATGTACATTTTCATAAGGCTTTTGGGGTATCCTACCAGTTCTAATGTGGTAGTGTTGCCCTGTAAATGGACTAAAATTATAATTTTACTTCTTTCTTTGATCTAATAGCCATTTAGGGTTATGTTTTAAAACATTTAGATCATCACAATTTTCTCTTTACCTTTGACTACATTATATTACATTTTGACTGGAGGATTGTTCCATAAAATTGTGTCATTTTGGAATGTATCAAGGTCTATCATGTGATCAATTTTTGTAAATATTCCATGGATTCCTGAAAGAAGTTGTTGGCATTTTTTAAAAATAGGGTGTAAAGTCTGAAATATATATATTTCAAGTTCAACAATTCCATGGATTCTGTGTCATTTTGGAATGCATCAAGGTCTATCATGTGATCAATTTTTGTAAATATTCCATGGATTCCTGAAAGAAGTTGTTGGCATTTTTTAAAAATAGGATGTAAAGTCTGAAATATATCTATTTCAAGTTCAACAATTCCATGGATTCCTGAAAGAAGTTGTCAGCATTTTTAAAAAATAGGATGTAAAGTCTGAGATATATCTATTTCAAGTTCAACATGTTAATTATAATATATGCATTGTTTAAATATATACTCACATATAGGCCAGATGTGATAATCCCAGCATTTTGAGTGGCCAAGGTGGGCAAATCACCTGAGCTCAGGAGTTCGAGACCAGCCTGGCCAACATGGTGAAACTTTGTCTTTACTAAAAATTCAAAAATTAGCCAGGCATGGTGGCGTGTGCCTGTAATCCCAGCTACTCAGGAGGCTGAGGCAGAAGAATTCACTTGAACCTGGGAGGTGGATGTTGCAGTGAGCCAAGATAGAGCCACTGTACTCCAGCCTGGGCAACAGAGCAAGACTCCCTCTCAAATAAATAAATAAATAAATAAAATAAATAAATAGATACACACATATAATTTATTACATAGTAGTGTGTTTTCTTATTACAAGTGAATTTCTGTCCATTTATAGTCTTTTTTTTGTTTTAAATATTTCAATGCTATATCATTAACCCATGAAAAATAATTATTGTTAGCTCATCATTGTGGATTATGTATAATTTAGTTTCTGGTCTCTATCAGGCATTCATCTCTTTCAGATCTGCTAGACCAGGTGGATATCTATCAAGTTCTCTTTCTTTCCTGCAGAGTTAACTAGGTGAGTCTTTCACTTCTTAGGGAAGCTAAAGTAATAAAAAATAGAAACAAGTGAATCATTTGTAGTAAGAAATATAAATGGATGGAAGTCACCTATTACAAGGGAAGGATAGGATTAAAACATCAAATCCAATTGTAAACAACTTAAAAAAATCTAATGAAATGAAGTACTATTAGTTAAAACTGGAAACAATTCAAATGGCTACCCACTGTAAAATGCTTAAGTAAATTTTGATATATTATACAATACAATATGGCAATGAAACCAACTAAAATAGACCTATACACAACAAATGGGCTGGATCTTAACCATCATGTTGAATGAAAGAAGCCAGAAAAAAAATTTATTGCTCTTTTATTTATACAAACTTCAAAAATCTTGCTCTTAGGGAGGTATTTATAGGTATTAAAAGTCTAAAATAAAACCAAGAAGCATTCACTCTTAAGATGTGAGTAAAAAGGAGCATCTAAGATGCTGGTAAGATACTATTTCTTGATTTGTGTGGTAGTTCTATGGGTATTTGCTTTATAAACATTAATCGTACTGTGCATAAAAACATTTTGTATGTGTAATATACTTCAAAGTTTTTTAAAAGACAAATAAGAAGAAAAATAGCATAGGTAGGTGAAAGGATGAGGATATATAAAGTAAATAAAATATTTATATTTTATAAAGTAAATAAAAATTTTATATTTATACTACATATATAAAGTAAATTTACTTATGTATTTATTTATTTTTTGAGACGGAGTCTTGCTCAGTTGCCCAGGCTGGAGTGCAGTGGCACGATCTCAGCTCACTGCAAGCTCCGCCTCCCGGGTTCACCCCATTCTCCTGCCTCAGCCTCCCGAGTAGCTGGGACTACAGGCGCCTGCCACCACGCCCGGCTAATTTTTTGTATTTTTAGTAGAGACAGGGTTTCACCGTGTTAGCCAGGATGGTCTCGATCTCCTGACCTTGTGATCCACCTGCCTCGGCCTCCCAAAGTGCTGGGATTACAGGAGTGAGCCACCGTGCCCGGCCAATATATTCACTTTAAATACAAAACAAACAACAACAATAAAACAATTCAGAGGCAGAAATCATTTTCCTAACTTTAGTAGAAATAAAAAATCTTTATACCTGTTGAGCCTCAGTTATGTAAGATGAGTAAGTTCTAGAGATCTGTTGTACAACCTAGTATCTATAGTTAACAATATGGTATTGTGCACTTTAAAATATGTTTAAATAAATATGTTTAGGCCTCGTGTTAAGTGTTCTTCACACAAAAGCAAAACAAAACAAAATGTAAAAGAACATAAGAAAATTTTCGGAGGTGATAAACATATTTAGGGTCTTGATTGTGGTGATGGTATCATGGGTGTATATACATGTCAAAACTCATCAAATGTGTACATTTTTGTGCATCAATTTATATTTTTTTAATCTATCAGTTATACCTCTGTAAAGCTTAAACAGAAGAAATCAAATAAAATATCAAATAGCATAGAAAAGTCATTTTATATTATCATACTTCCTTATCTTTGTGCTTCAAAGGTAAGTATTTTTCTTTGAAAAAGATTTTTTCAAGATCCTTTGTTATTCTTTAAATTTTAAAATTTTAATAACTTATGCCTTGAGGAGATTTCTGATCATTATCTTTATGAGAGTATGGTGATAAGCCCTAAAAAGCTAAAGCTTTGTTTTAGCTCTGGAAAACTGACTTTAATTACATCTTGAATAATGATTGCATTACATTTCATTTGATTTGATTCAGTTATCTTTGGGGGAACACCCACCATTTCTTGGATGTCTTTTCACCATTTCACTTATCCTATAGTATCTATCTCCATTTTTTTCCCTGATTATTTTCATCTCTTTATTCATTTCTTATGCAATCTTAGATCGTTCCTCCAGTTTGTCTTCTGCATTACGTTGTAAAATTGTCTTTTAAAGCATAAATTTATTTTATCCCTTCTGCTTGGGTGTTAGTTTCATTGTACTTTCTTCTTGGCTGATCTTCTTACCAAGGCCCTTACTTGTTCAATGGAGGCAAGTCCTTATAGGAACAAAAGTAAAAATGTTGCAATTTTTCTTCTGTTTTAGAAAAGCCTTTTCTACTAAAGTATTTGGTCATTAAAAATGTTTTTCCTTGTACTGTAGAATTTCTTCATAGATATCACATTGATTTTGTTCTATTACTGATCCTTGAAAGAGGAGAATTCTATGTAGAGCTAGTAGTGTTAAAGAACAGTATGCTGCCTATTTCTCCTATCACCATTCAGGGTGCCATCCAGGGGCCAGCTGCAGTCCCAAATGCTAGCTGCAGCTCCTGCTTGGGTGTAAAGCCCAAATCTACCACATATAGAAAAGGCAATGCTAGCTTTCTTTCCAAATGCAAAAGCAAACAAACTCACATTGAAATTGTTCTTGCTCTATTCGATAGGTTATTATTTGGAAGAATAAGAGCAAATGGGGTAGGTTTTTGGTTTGTTGTACACTTTGCAGGTTCCTTTTAGTTTCACGCATTTTCTTTTAGATGGTAAAACAAATACATGTTCATTGAACTCAGCATAAATCTTACATGCGTCTAAAGCTGCAGTTACGAAAAGGCACAGTGAAGTTTTCGAGCGGTTTTTTGAGGAGTCTTTAACCTTTTTTCCTCTGGCTGATTTCTTGGTTAGTGCAGTGATGCGTGGCTGAAATAAATTTTTATTCTTGCCTTTGAAGTCTGCTTCTCAAATACTTGTGACAGCTTCTTATCTGAGGCGGATTTTCAATTCAGCTTCATGCTCCAAAGCCTTTTTGCTCTGGGCTGCCCAGTTCATCAGGGTCACCTCCCTTCCCACCCATCTCCAAGCTGGAACCTGTCCATGGGGCTGTCCTGTCGCTCAGGAAGAGGCCTCAATTCAATCATTAATGCACTTTCTCTTTTCTCCCTCCCCTTACTTCTCAGTCTTTTTCTTCTGTTTTTCTTCCAGGCAATTTTCTCTGCAAAAATTGATGAATGGATTGAGACTCTTGTGGATTGAATTGTGTACCCCTCACATTTGTGTACCCCTCACATTGAAGCCCAACCCCAGTGTTATTGTATTTAGAGATCAGGCTTTTAGAAGGTAATTAAGATTAAAGGCGGTCATAAGGGTGGGGTCTTAACCCAATAAGACTGGTATCCTTATAAGGAAAGAGAAACACCACCAGGGATGCATGCACAGAGGGCTATGGAAGAACACAGCGAGAAGGCAGTCATCTGCAACCCAAAGGGAGAGGCCTCAAGAGAAACCAGGCCTGCTGACACTTTGGTCTTTGTCTTCCAGCCTCTGGAAGTGTCAGAAATAAATGCTTGTTTAAGCCATCCAGTCTGTGGTGTTTTGTTATGGCAGCCCTAGGTGACTAATATAGACTCTGTCTACCCATCATCTGCTAATCTTTAGAGACTTCTTCTGGGGATCTTGCATATGTCCAGTTTTTTTTGTTTTTAGTTTTTTCGAGACAGAGTCTTGCTCTGTTGCCCAGGCTGGAGTACAGTGGCACCATCTCAGCTCACTGAAACCTCTGTCTCCCAGGTTCAAGCGATTCTCCTGCCTCAGCCTCCAGAGTGGCTGGGACTACAGGTACCTGCCACCACGCCTGGCGATATTTTTAGTAGAGACAGGGTTTCACTACATTGGCCAGGCTGGCCTTGAACTCCTAACCTCAGGTGATCTGCCCACCTCGGCCTCCCAAAATATTGAGGTTACAGGAATAAGCCATTGCACCCAGCCCCAGTTTTTATTACTAATATCAAGTACTGCTGAAATTTTCTCTCCTTTTGAATGTAAATCACAGGTATTTTAAAGGGACATTTGGGAAAGAAGAATTCATTTGGTCTTCTATGAATCTCCTCTGAAACATTTCTTTTAGTTTCTGTCATGTCACTTAGCAGTTATGTTCTATTTTGTTCCATCCATTAATAGCAATAGCTTTAATATCATCTGCTCAATTAACCTGTAGCTTGCAAGCAGCAGGTTATTGTGTTCTATAATTCCTGTCTAGCACAATGTTTATGCTTAAAAGTGCTAGAGGGCTGGTCGTGTGAACATTGATCCTACAAATTGAGTCATTCTTGTTATACCTAACTAAAACAGAGTCGAGAAGCCGGGGGGAGAAGCAGTCAGAACACATAACATTGCTCCAAGAATGTAATTCTCTGCAAACCTGCCTACTGAAATTGCCTGCTGTAATCTTCAACCAGTTTTGTCTAATGGTTTCTGAGACAACCTGCTACAGCTCTAAGATTAATTTTACTCACCGATGTCACTTGCCAATTGAAGCTTGCCAGACCCCCAGAGCCTTACTAGTGCCAGTGAACTTTTCAAAGAGCAATACTTAACATTTCTTTTCTTTATTTTATTTATTTATTTATTTTTGCGACGGAGCCTCTCTCTGTCATCCAGGCTGGAGTGCAGTGGCATGATCTCGGCTCACTGCAAGCTCCACCTCCCGGGTTCACGCCATTCTCCTGCCTCAGCCTCCCGAGTAGCTGGGACTACAGGCGCCCGCCACCACGCATGGCTAATTTTTTTTGGATTTTTAGTAGAGACGGGGTTTCACCGTGTTAGCCAGGATGGTCTCGATCTCCTGACCTCGTGATCTGCCCTCCTTGGTCTCCCAAAGTGCTGGGATTACAGGCGTGAGCCAACGCGTCTGGCCTCTTTTCTTCGTTTTTTAAAATGAAACCTCCAATCTTCTCTTTGTTCTTTGGACATACCAAAGACTGCCCAGTCTCCGTGTATGGTCCGAACTGTGGTTCTTTCTTCCCAAATAAAATCTTACATTTCAGAGATTCGTCTCTCCATTTTTTATTTTGACTTCAACAGTTCATTGGTTTAAATCCTCAAATTGGACTCAGGGGCACAGTGATCTTGATCCTTTCTGTTTCCTACCTAGGTTTAAACGTGAATTCAGATTCCACAAGGTGTGAGAAAAGAGGGATTGGGGCCCTCTCCCAACAGACATGAGTATTTAGGAGTCCCCAGTTCCGGTTTCCACATGACATGATATGATGGTCTGTTGTTTTCCTCAGGGACCTAGAGGCAGATGTAGACAAATAGCAGGTGAGGAGGAAGGGTGGTGCTGAGCTGTAAACAACAGCTGCGGGCTGTAAACAATGGAGCTATATTAAGAAAGTCCTGCATCTGCAGCATTCGGTTCAATCCTGCCACCCACTGGGCGTACTCCTGAATTGACTTTCCATTGTCAGCTGATCAGTGACAGATGTGAAATGACTCGTTACACACACAGGTCACATTGGGAGGATTCTTAGACGTCATATTCTTTGGTGCTTCACAAAGTCTTACTGTGGCACATGAAATGATTTCAGATGGTGCACAAGATGATTTCACATGGACATATATTAATGTTGAACACACATTAACACTGAATTGCATTTCCAATATTCTTTCCATCTTTTTGGTTTTGGGATGGAGAAAGTATCTGTTTAGTGCTGGTAGGCCTTTTGACACTTCTGTTTATATTCACTAAAGGAAATAATGTATACAGTGGTCCATATCCAAGACAAAGTGCCTTGAATTGGCTTAGGTCAGCAAACGACATAAGAAACAGGAAATACTAGGCCCTTGCTTGGATAGCCGATGCCTGCTTGTTGGTCTCTCCCTTCTCCCTGTTGCCCCCACTCTTAGTTGCCCTCACCCGAACCAAAAGTTTAGTCTAATATAAAAGCGTGCTAGCCTGCAAAGTAGTTCATTCCGTCTGTTCTTAATCAGCCTTCCCAGCTACTTAGGTTATAAGTCAAATACTTGAAGAGCTTCTGAGCTAACTAGGATTGCAATACATTGTGGGCTGCAACAAAATGCAGCAAGACGACCCTAAAAAAAAACCACCTACCGCCCCTACCCAACTATCAATAGGCAATATCTGGGAAGATTGTGACCCCATAGTACTCAGCCTATGAGGAGCAGTGGGAGGGACCTGCGCACTAGGGGATAAATTGCTTGTTGAAACTGTGCTGGGTGTGCCTGCCTATCAGACACCCGATCTTGCAAGACTGTCATTAAAAGTCTCACTTTCACTGTTCTTGAGGCCTCTGAGTTCATTGTTAGGGTTTGGACGGATGAGTTTGTTTCTCACATTCACTATCTTCCCTCTCTTTATTAGAGAGCATTCTCTCTCCTACATTGTATTTCTTCTACTACCATTTGATATCATATAAAAGTCCTTCTTTATATGAATTAATTTAGCTGAACAAAGTGAGTCTCTTTAAAGACAAATATTAAATACATAACGCTGCAGGTGATATCTGGATAAGGGAATGATTGTGAAGGTTGTACACAGGGTAACATAGAGATGCTTGCATAGTTTATTATCGACCTCTATCTCCTCCTCTTTCCTTCTACACACAAAGAAACTGAGGCCTCTTTTGGAATGTTTTGCTGAGAGGCTGAGTTGGGAAAGTTGGGATAGACAGTGAACTAGTGGCATCTGTTATGACCAAGATGCCCAAGAGGAAGAGGGGCTGCCCCAGAAGTAACCAGAGCTTGGCATCTCTATGGATCTGGATCATGCCTGCTGTACAGAAAAGGTCTCTGACCAGCCACTCCTTTGCTTGTTCCCAGAAGACAGGGAGAAGAACAGTGAGAGGAGAATTGGGAGTGTGGCCTCCGAGGCATTGAATGGTACAGAAAACAGGGGACTTTCAGTCATATGAACTAGCCGTGCCACATGCAGGCAATAAAGCTTGGTGTCAATGGTTGTTGAGCTTGGGGCGATAAACCATGTTTTGAATTTTTTCCTTTTAATCAATCACATAATTATTGCTCTATATGTTATATACCTCCAGTGTAAAAAAAATAGAAAAAAACCTTATATATAAAATTCACATGCAAAATATTTACAGATCTCAGTTGTGCAAATAAGTCCATTTCTTTATTTTCCTAAGCCAGCTGAAACTCCATTAGGAATCCCCATCAACTCAAAGGCAGGAAAAATTAATCTAATCAGTGCCTCGTTTTCTCTGTCACTTCAGATTTGAACGAGTCACTACTGAATCTTCTTCCCCCATCTCCTTCTTCCTTGGTGACTCCTACATTTCTGACATTATGGCTCAGGGATGGCAGATAGGGAACTGGCTAACATCCTCTCAGGGTCTCAGATGCTGGCTGACCCTCTCAGGGTCTTAGGTATAGCCTTGATTAGACCCCAGTCTCTGTGGACATCACCCTGGTCATCTGACTGTACCTCTGCCTCCTCCTTCTCTTTGGAAGTGTGAGGTTGCCTCTCAACTACTTCTGTGTCCTTTTCACCAGTCCAGCATCAGAGAACCCACGGTATGCTTGCCTCATCCCTCTGATGCCCTGTACCCCACACGGCTTTACTGCCTCTGCTGCTGCCAGGCCACATGCCGGCATGCCATAGCAGAACTGTGGGGTTTGCTCACTTTTCCAGGCTCTACCCGAAAAATCAGACCCTCCCCGCCCTCAGATCCCAAAGCTTATTGGGAGGTGGTTCTGTTGTGGCACTTACCCTGCTCTTGACTGAGTTAGAAGTGCAGCTTGGGCACAGGGGCCCTTCTTGGAGGCACTTACCAGCCTCTCTCTTGTTTGGCCTCTCTCTTCCATCTCTCCTTCTAACCTCCTTCTCTAGCTCAAGAAATATTGATAACATGCGGGAATAAAATGACTTACCTCTTAGTCCAGATTTATTATTTATGGAATACACTAAATTCAGAAGGCTTAGGTTAAGGCAAATCAACCTTTTTGGGGGGAACTTCTTTTCTGTGTAATGAGTGTCAACAGACTAATTAGAAGATGCTATAAAGATTTGTGGACAAGTTTTTATGTGGACATAGTATTCATTTCTCTGGGATAAATGGCCAGAAGCGCAATTCCTTGGTTTTATGGTAGTTGCATGTTTGATGTTTTCCAATTTAATAGACATTAAAAAAGAGTTTCAAAGATACAGAGAAATTGAGAAGATAGTACAGAGAATTCTCTCATAGCCCTACCTGGTTTCCTTTATTAACAAATTATATACATATGGAACATTTTCCACAATTCATGAACCAGTAAACTTCCTTTAGCCACTTTTTTAGGGTAGGTACAATTGGCTGAATAATGGCCCTCAGAGATATCAGGGCTTAATCCCTGGGACCTATAAACGTGGCAGAGATGGCAGATGTGATCAAGTTAAAGATTTTAAGTTAAGGAGGTTGTCCTGCATCATCCAGATGGACCCCAAATACAATCCTAAGTGTTCTTATCAGAGAAGAAGGGGGATTATTAACATAGAAGGGTCGACAAGGAGACTACTGAGGCAGAGATTGGAGTGGTGTAGCCACTCTGATAGAACACAAAGAAAGCAGCTCTAGGGGCTGGAGATAAGGAACGAATTCCACCCTAGAACCTTTCAAAATTGAAATGGTACCAGAGGAATCTAAGAATTTCTCTCTAGTCTAGTTCCCCTTTCTGAAGACAGCCAGTGTTAACAGGTCCTTGTGCATCTTTCCAGAGATATCTGATGCATATATAAGCAAAATATATGTTTCTATATTTTCCCTCTCTTTTCACCCAAATGATGTCATGTACATTGTTCTGTATCCTGCTTTTTCCCACTAACAATAACTCTTGAAGACCGTTGCATTTAAGTAGTTTTCTTTTTCTTTTTAATGGTTGATGTGGTCTGGCTACATGTCCTCACCCAAATCTCGTCTAGAATTGTAATCCTCATGTGTCGAGGGAGGGACCCTGTGGGAGGTGATTGGATCATGGCGGGGCTTCCCCCATTCTGTTCTCATGATTGTGAAGGAGTTCTCATGAGATCTGATGGTTTAAAAGTGTGTGGCGGATCCCCCCTCGTTCTCTCTTTTCTGCAACCATGCTTCCCCTTTGCCTTCTGCCATGATTGTAAGTTTCCTGAGGCCTCTTCAGCCGTGTGGAACTGTGAGTCAATTAAACCTCTTCTCTTTGTAAATTACCCAGTCTCAGGTAGTTCTTTATAGCAGCGTGAGAATGGACTAATACAATGGTTGCATTACATTCCGTTGAAAAGATAGATTAGAATTTATTTATCCAGTGACAACTTTAGCTGTTCTCAGTATTTTATTATTACAAACAGAACTTCAATAAATAATTTTTTACACATATCTTTTTTTGCATTAAAGTATATCTGAATATTCTTGGGATAAATTAAATAGATGTGGAATTTGTAGATCAAACAGTGAGTGCATGGGCTGAATTGTGTCCCCCCAAAATTCACATGTTAAAGCTTTAACCTCCAATCTGTCTGTGTTTAAAGATAGGATATATGAAGAGGGAGTTAAGATTAAGGGAGGTTATAAGGGTGGGCTTGAATTCAATGTGACTGGTGTCACATTTGTAAGAAGAGAAAGAGACACCAAGAAAGTGAGTCATAGAGAAAAGACCATATGAGGGCACAGCAAGATGGTCATCAGCAAGCCAAGGAGAGAGGTCTCACCAGAAACCAATTCTCCTGACACTGTGACCTCCAGAACTGTGAGAAAATAAATTTCTGTTATTTAGGCCACCCAGACTGTGATATTTTGTCACAAAAGCCCTAGAAGACAAACAGTGAATATGTAATTTTGACAATTATTGCCAAATTGCTGTCCATACAAGTTGGATCACTTTGTACTTTTTCCAGCTTCTGTTCTTCTATTGGCAGACATTTAGGCCATTTTCAACAGATTATAACAAACCATGATGCAATTAACATTATAAACTTAAAAAAATAAAGTTTAAGCTGTGTCTTAGAGATTCTGGTACGTTGTGTCTTTGTTCTCATTGGTTTCAAAGAACTTATGTCTTAATTTCATTACTTATCCAGCAGTCATTCAGATGCAGGTTGTTCAGTTTCCGTGTAGTCGTGCAGTTTTGAATGAGTTTCTTAATCCTGAGTTCTAATTTGATTGCACTGTGGTCTCAGAGACTGTTTGTTGTGATTTCCATTCTTTTGCATTTGCTGAGGACTGTTTTACTACCAATTATGTGGTCAATTTTAGAATAGGTGCTAAGAAGAATGTATAGTCTGTTGATTTGGGGTGGAGAGTTCTGTAGATGTCTATTAGGTCCACTTGGTCCAGAGCTGAGTTCAAATCGGGAATATCCTTGTTAATTTTCTGTCTTGTTGATATAATATTGACAGTGGGGTGTTAAAGTCTCCCACTATTATTGTGTGGGATTCTAAGCCTCTTTGTAGGTATCTAAGAACTTGCTTATGAATCTGGGTGCTCCTGTATTGACTGCATATATATTTAGGATAGTTAGCTCTTCTTGTTGCACTGATCCCCTTACCATAATGTAATGCTCTTCTTTGTATTTTTTGATCTTTGTCGGTTTAAAGTCTGTTTTATTAGAGACTAGGATTGCAACCCCTGCTTTCTTTTTGCTTTCCATTTGCTTGGTAAATCTTCCTCCATCCCTTTATTTTGAGTCTATGTGTGTCTTTGCACATGAGATGGGTCTCCTGAATATGCCACATCGATGGGTGTTTACTCTTTATCCAATTTGCCAGTCTGTCTTTTAATTGGGGGCATTTAGCCTGTTTATATTTAAGGTTAATATTGTTATGTGTGAATTTGATCCTGTCATTTTGATGCTAGCTGGTTATTTTGCCCATTTGTTGATGCAGTTTCTTCATAGTGTCAATGGACTTTACAATTTGGTATGTTTTTGCAGTGGCTGGTACTGGTTTTTCCTTTCCATATTTAGTGCTTCCTTCAGGAGCTCTTGTAAGGCAGGCCTGGTGGTGACAAAATCTCTCAGCATTTGCTTGACTGTAAAGGATTTTATTTCTCTTTCACGTATGAAGCTTAGTTTGGCCGATTTGAAAATTCTTTTCTTTAAGAATGAAGAAAAGAATTTTCTTCGGGCTTGCAGGGTTTCTGTGGAGACATCCGCTCTTAGTCTGATGGCCTTCCCTTTTGTGGGTAATCCGACCTCTATCTCTGGCTGCCCTTAACATTTTTTCCTTCATTTCAACCTTGGTGAATCTGACAATTATGTGTCTTGGGGTCGCTCTTCTCAAGGGGTATCTTTGTGGTGTTCTCTGTAGTTCCTGAATTTGAATGTTGGCCTGTCATGCTAGGTTGGAGCTAAAGCAGTGTTTAGAGAGAAATTTATAACACTAAATGCCCACAGGAGAAAGTGGGGAAGATCTAAAATCGACACCCTAGCATCATAATAAAAAGAACTAGAGAAGCAAGAACAAACAAATTCAAAAGTTAGCAGAAGACAAGAAATAACTAAGATCAGAGCAGAACTGATGGAGATAGAGACACACAAACTCTAAAAAATCAATGAATCCAGAAGCTGGTTTTTTGAAAAGATCAACAAAATGGATAGACTGCTAGCCAGACTAATAAAGAAGGAAAGAGAGAAGAATCAAATAGACACAATAAAAAATGATAAAGTGGATATCACCACTGATCCCACAGAAATACAACTACCATCAGAGAATACTATAAACACCTCTATGCAAATAAACTAGAAAATCTAGAAGAAATGGATAAATTCATGGACACATATACCCTCCCAAGACTAAACCAGGAAGAAGCCAAATCCCTGAGTAGACCAATAACAAATTCTGAAATTGAGGCAGTAATTTATAGCCTACCAACCAAAAAAAGTCCAGGACCAGATGGATTCACAGCCAAATTCTACCAGAGGTACAAAGAGGAGCTGGTGTCATTCCTTCTGAAACTATTCCAAACAATAGAAAAAGAGGGAATCCCCCCTAACTCATTTTATGAGGCTAGCATCATTCTGATACCAAAACCTGACAGAGACTCAACAAAAAAAGAAAATTTCAGGCCAATACCCCTGATGAACATCGATGTGAAAATCCTCAGTAAAATACTGGCAAACCTAATACAGCAGCACATCAAAAAGCTTATTCACCATGATCAAGTCAGCTTCATCCCTGGGATGCAATGCTGGTTCAACATACGCAAATCAATAAACGTAATCCCTCACATAAACAGAACCAACGACAAAAACTACATGATTATATCAATAGATGCAGAAAAGGCCTTCATAAAATTCAACACCCCTTCATGCTAAAAACTCTCAATAAACTAGGTATTGATGGAATGTATCTCAAAGTAATAAGAGCTATTTATGACAAACTCAGAGCCAATATCATACTGAATGGACAAAAGCTAGAAGCATTTCCTTTGAAAACTGGCACAAGACAAGGATGCCCTCCCTCACCACTCCTATTCAACATAGTATTGGAAGTTCTGGCCAAGGCAATCAGGCAAGAGAAAGAAATAAAGCGTATTCAGATGGGAAGAGAGGAAGTCAAATTGTCTCTGTTTGCAGATGACATGATTGTACATTTAGAAAACTCCGTCTCAGCCCAAATCTCCTTAAGCTGATAAGCAACTTCAGCAAAGTCTCGGGATACAAAAATCAATGTGCAAAAATCACAAGCATTCCTATACAGCAATAATAGACAAACAGAGAGCCAAATCATGAGTGAACTCCCATTCACAATTGCTACAAAAAAAATAAAATACCTAGGAATCCAACTTACAAGAGATGTGAAGGACCTCTTCAAGGAGAACTACAAACCACTGCTCAAGGAAATAAAAGAGGACACAAACAAATGGCAAAACATTCCATGCTCATGGATAGGAAGAATCAATATTGTGAAAATGGCCATACAGCCCAAAATAATTTATAGATTCAATGCTATCCCCATCAAGCTACCAATGACTTTCTTCACAGAATTGGAAAAAACTACTTTAAATTTCATATGGAACCAAAAAAGAGCCCATATGGTCAAGACAATTCTAAGCAAAAAGAACAAAGCTGGAGGCATCACCCTACCTGACTTCAAACTATACTACAAGGCTACAGGAACCAAAACAGCATGGTACTGGTACCAAAACAGGTATATAGACCCATGGAACCAAACGGAAGCATTAGAAATAACGCCACAGATCTGCAACCATCTGATCTTTGACAAACCTGACAAAAACAAGCAATGGGGAAAGGATTCCCTATTTAATAAATGATGTCAGAAAAACTGGCTAGCCATATGCAGAAAACTGAAACTGGACCCCTTCCTTACACCTTATACAAAAATTAACTCAAGATGGATTAAAGGCTTAAATGTAAGACCTAAAACCATAAAAACCCTAGAAGAAAACCTAGGCAATACCATTCAGGATATAGGCATGGGCAAAGACTTCATGACTAAAACACCAAAAGCAATGGCAACAAAAGCCAAAATTGACAAATGGGATCTAATTAAACTAGAGAGCTTCTGCACAGCAAAAGAAACTATCATCAGAGTGAACAGGCAACCTATGGAATGGGAGAAAATGTTTGCAATCTATCTATCTGACAAAGGGCAAATATCCAGAAGCTACAAGGAACTTAAACAACTTTAAAAGAAAAATACAAACAACCCTATCAAAAAGTGGGCGAAGGATATGAACAGACATTTCTCAAAAGAAGACATTTATGCAGCCAACAAACAAAAGCTCATCATCACTGTCATTAGAGAAATGCAAATGAAAACCACAATAAGATACCATCTCACACCAGTTAGAATGGCGATCATTAAAACGTCAGGAAACAACAGATGCTGGAGAGGATGTGGAGAATAGGAACTCTTTTACATGGTTGGTGGGAGTGTAAATTAGTTCAACTGTTGTGGAAGACAGTGTGGTGATTCCTCAAGGATCCAGAACCAGAAATACCATTTGACCCAGCAATCTCATTACTGAGTATATGCCCAAAGGATTTATAAATCATGCTACTGTAAAGACACATGCACATGTATGTTTATTGCAGCACTGTACACAATAGCAAAGACTTGGAACCAACCCAAAAGCCCATCAATGATAGACTGGATAAAGAAAATGTGGCACATATACACCATAGAATACTATGCAGCCACAGAAAAGGATGAGTTCATGTCATTTGCAGAAACATAGATAAAGCTGGAAACCATCATTCTCAGCAAACTAACACAGGAATGCAAACCAAACACTACATGTTCTCACTCATAAGTGGGAGTTGAACAATGAGAACACATGGACACAGGGAGGGGAACATCACATAATGGAGCCTGCTGGGGACTGGGGAGCTGGGGAGGGATAGCATTAGGAGAAATACCTAATGCAGATGATGGCTTGATGGGTGCAGCAAACCACCATGGCAAGTGTATACCTATGTAACAAACTTGGATGTCCTGCACATGTATCCCAGAACTTAAAAGTATAATAATAATAAAAAAAGGTTTTTGGTTTTCCAGTTAAGAATTGTATACCAAATCAAAAGATGGTCAGTTAATTGCTTTAATCAGGAATCCAAATTTGACCTACCCTAAGAGAAAAAAAGAGACTTATTTAGAACATCAAAGAGGCTCTAAAATTCCAAACATACCATGGATTGACCTGAACTTTTCCTTATGAGGTGACCCCACATTTTTAGAAAGGCATAGCTTCTAAGGACTAGTCACAATGGCAGAAGAAAAGATCTTCACATATATTGGTTAGGACTTATGGTTTTGAGGGTTAGATGACCCAAATTCAACTTGGGTTAAACAGGAAATGGAATTGCTTGACTCTTATTACAGAGAAGCCTGTGAAGTTGGAGTTTATTTCAGGCATAGCTGTGTCCAAGAGTTTAAATGATGTCATCAGTCTTTTCTCAGTGCCTTTTTCCTTCTCTTGCCTAGTTGGACTTAATTCTCATGTAGGTTTTTCTCATAAGATAGCATGATGGACTTTGGCAGCTCCAAGCATATGAGATCCTTTGGTATCACAGACTAAGAGAGAAAAAAGTGTCCTTTCTCTCTATTGTTCATATCAATCCCACAGAAGTACTCTGCCTACTTGGGTCATGTGACTAACCCTGGATCCATCACTTTATCTAAGGAATTGGGAACTTTTGATTGGCTGGCCTTGGTTCAGTGAAGGAGGCAGGGCCAGATGACTGATAGCAACGTCAGATTTACTATGAAAGAGGAGGTTGTTCTCAGTTGGCAAAAGTATTGGACAGATAGGAAAGTAACTGATAGCAACTCTCCTACAGAATATCAAATTGTAGTCAGAATGTTGCTTAGTGAGAATGCAGTCAAAGCAAAAGGATTTAGTTGGATGATTAAAAAGTGCAGTAAATTCAGACAATGATAATTTTAGGTATTCTTCTAGCTGTATGTGCCTCAATGATAAGAAAGTGGCAGTTTTTGGATTTATGACTCCCTTCCTTTGGCATGTGTATGTGTGTATCATAGGTCTTTCTGATTATAATTTTCTAAGTTTCCACTAATGGCTATATTAGTTTTCTAGGGCTACCATAACAAAGTATCATAGAGTAGGTAGCTTAAACAACCAACGTTTATTTTCTCACAATTTTGGAGGCTAGAAGTTTGAGATTAAGGTGTTAGTGGAATTGGTTTCTCTGAGGTCTCTCCTTGGCTTGTAGATGGTCATATTTTCTCTTTGTTTTCACATTGTCTTCCCTCTGTGTGTGTCTGTGTTCTAATCTCTTTTTCTAAGATCACCAGTCATATTGAATTAGGGCTCACCTAATGACCTCATTTTAACTTAATTACTTCTTTTTTTTTTTTTTTTTTATTATACTCTAAGTTTTAGGGTACATGTGCACATTGTGCAGGTTAGTTACATATGTATACATGTGCCATGCTGGTGCACTGCACCCACTAATGTGTCATCTAGCATTAGGTATATCTCCCAATGCTATCCCTCCCCCCTCCCCTGACCCCACCACAGTCCCCAGAGTGTGATATTCCCCTTCCTGTGTCCATGTGATCTCATTGTTCAATTCCCACCTATGAGTGAGAATATGCGGTGTTTGTTTTTTGTTCTTGCGATAGTTTACTGAGAATGATGGTTTCCAATTTCATCCATGTCCCTACAAAGGATATGAACTCATCATTTTTTATGGCTGCATAGTATTCCATGGTGTATATGTGCCACATTTTCTTAATCCAGTCTATCATTGTTGGACATTTGGGTTGGTTCCAAGTCTTTGCTATTGTGAATAGTGCCGCAATAAACATACGTGTGCATGTGTCTTTATAGCAGCATGATTTATACTCATTTGGGTATATACCCAGTAATGGGATGGCTGGGTCAAATGGTATTTCTAGTTCTAGATCCCTGAGGAATCGCCACACTGACTTCCACAATGGTTGAACTAGTTTACAGTCCCACCAACAGTGTAAAAGTGTTCCTATTTCTCCGCATCCTCTCCAGCACCTGTTGTTTCCTGACTTTTTAATGATTGCCATTCTAACTGGTGTGAGATGATATCTCATAGTGGTTTTGATTTGCATTTCTCTGATGGCCAGTGATGATGAGCATTTCTTCATGTGTTTTTTGGCTGCATAAATGTCTTCTTTTGAGAAGTGTCTGTTCATGTCCTTCGCCCACTTTTTGATGGGGTTGTTTGTTTTTTTCTTGTAAATTTGTTTGAGTTCATTGTAGATTCTGGATATTAGCCCTTTGTCAGATGAGTAGGTTGCGAAAATTTTCTCCCATGTTGTAGGTTGCCTGTTCACTCTGATGGTAGTTTCTTTTGCTGTGCAGAAGCTCTTTAGTTTAATTAGATCCCATTTGTCAATTTTGTCTTTTGTTGCCATTGCTTTTGGTGTTTCAGACATGAAGTCCTTGCCCACGCCTATGTCCTGAATGGTAATGCCTAGGTTTTCTTCTAGGGTTTTTATGGTTTTAGGTTTAACGTTTAAATCTTTAATCCATCTTGAATTGATTTTTGTATAAGGTGTAAGGAAGGGATCCAGTTTCAGCTTTCTACATATGGCTAGCCAGTTTTCCCAGCACCATTTATTAAATAGGGAATCCTTTCCCCATTGCTTGTTTTTCTCAGGTTTGTCAAAGATCAGATAGTTGTAGATATGCGGCATTATTTCTGAGGGCTCTGTTCTGTTCCATTGATCTATATCTCTGTTTTGGTACCAGTACCATGCTGTTTTGGTTACTGTAGCCTTGTAGTATAGTTTGAAGTCAGGTAGTGTGATGCCTCCAGCTTTGTTCTTTTGGCTTAGGATTGACTTGGCGATGCGGGCTCTTTTTTGGTTCCATATGTACTTTAAAGTAGTTTTTTCCAATTCTGTGAAGAAAGTCATTGGTAGCTTGATGGGGATGGCATTGAATCTGTAAATTACCTTGGGCAGTATGGCCATTTTCACGATATTGATTCTTCCTACCCATGAGCATGGAATGTTCTTCCATTTGTTTGTGTCCTCTTTTATTTCCTTGAGCAGTGGTTTGTAGTTCTCCTTGAAGAGGTCCTTCACATCTCTTGTAAGTTGGATTCCTAGGTATTTTATTCTCTTTGAAGCAATTGTGAATGGGAGTTCACCCATGATTTGGCTCTCTGTTTGTCTGTTGTTGGTGTATAAGAATGCTTGTGATTTTTGTACATTGATTTTGTATCCTGAGACTTTGCTGAAGTTGCTTATCAGCTTAAGGAGATTTTGGGCTGAGACGATGGGGTTTTCTAGATAAACAATCATGTCGTCTGCAAACAGGGACAATTTGACTTCCTCTTTTCCTAATTGAATACCCTTTATTTCCTTCTCCTGCCTGATTGCCCTGGCCAGAACTTCCAACACTATGTTGAATAGGAGCGGTGAGAGAGGGCATCCCTGTCTTGTGCCAGTTTTCAAAGGGAATGCTTCCAGTTTTTGCCCATTCAGTATGATATTGGCTGTGGGTTTGTCATAGATAGCTCTTATTATTTTGAAATACGTCCCATCAATACCTAATTTATTGAGAGTTTTTAGCATGAAGGGTTGTTGAATTTTGTCAAAGGCTTTTTCTGCATCTATTGAGATAATCATGTGGTTTTTGTCTTTGGCTCTGTTTATATGCTGGATTACATTTATTGATTTGCGTATATTGAACCAGCCTTGCATCCCAGGGATGAAGCCCACTTGATCATGGTGGATAAGCTTTTTGATGTGCTGCTGGATTCGGTTTGCCAGTATTTTATTGAGGATTTTTGCATCAATGTTCATCAAGGATATTGGTCTAAAATTCTCTTTTTTGGTTGTGTCTCTGCCCGGCTTTGGTATCAGAATGATGCTGGCCTCATAAAATAAGTTGGGGAGGATTCCCTCTTTTTCTATTGATTGGAATAGTTTCAGAAGGAATGGTACCAGTTCCTCCTTGTACCCCTGGTAGAATTCGGCTGTGAATCCATCTGGTCCTGGACTCTTTTTGGTTGGTAAACTATTGATTATTGCCACAATTTCAGAGCCTGTTATTGGTCTATTCAGAGATTCAACTTCTTCCTGGTTTAGTCTTGGGAGAGTGTATGTGTCGAGGAATGTATCCATTTCTTCTAGATTTTCTAGTTTATTTGCGTAGAGGTGTTTGTAGTATTCTCTGATGGTAGTTTGTATTTCTGTGGGATCGGTGGTGATATCCCCTTTATCATTTTTTATTGTGTCTATTTGATTCTTCTCTCTTTTTTTCTTTATTAGTCTTGCTAGCGGTCTATCAATTTTGTTGATCCTTTCAAAAAACCAGCTCCTGGATTCATTGATTTTTTGAAGGGTTTTTTGTGTCTCTATTTCCTTCAGTTCTGCTCTGATTTTAGTTATTTCTTGCCTTCTGCTAGCTTTTGAATGTGTTTGCTCTTGCTTTTCTAGTTCTTTTAATTGTGATGTTAGGGTGTCAATTTTGGATCTTTCCTGCTTTCTCTTGTAGGCATTTAGTGCTATAAATTTCCCTCTACACACTGCTTTGAATGCGTCCCAGAGATTCTGGTATGTGGTGTCTTTGTTCTCGTTGGTTTCAAAGAACATCTTTATTTCTGCCTTCATTTCGTTATGTACCCAGTAGTCATTCAGGAGCAGGTTGTTCAGTTTCCATGTAGTTGAGCGGCTTTGAGTGAGATTCTTAATCCTGAGTTCTAGTTTGATTGCAGTGTGGTCTGAGAGATAGTTTGTTATAATTTCTGTTCTTTTACATTTGCTGAGGAGAGCTTTACTTCCAACTATGTGGTCAATTTTGGAATAGGTGTGGTGTGGTGCTGAAAAAAATGTATATTCTGTTGATTTGGGGTGGAGAGTTCTGTAGATGTCTATTAGGTCTGCTTGGTGCAGAGCTGAGTTCAATTCCTGGGTATCCTTGTTGACTTTCTGTCTCGTTGATCTGTCTAATGTTGACAGTGGGGTGTTAAAGTCTCCCATTATTAATGTGTGGGAGTCTAAGTCTCTTTGTAGGTCACTGAGGACTTGCTTTATGAATCTGGGTGCTCCTGTATTGGGTGCATAAATATTTAGGATAGTTAGCTCCTCTTGTTGAATTGATCCCTTTACCATTATGTAATGGCCTTCTTTGTCTCTTTTGATCTTTGTTGGTTTAAAGTCTGTTTTATCAGAGACTAGGATTGCAACCCCTGCCTTTTTTTGTTTTCCATTGGCTTGGTAGATCTTCCTCCATCCTTTTATTTTGAGCCTATGTGTGTCTCTGCACGTGAGATGGGTTTCCTGAATACAGCACACTGATGGGTCTTGACTCTTTATCCAACTTGCCAGTCTGTGTCTTTTAATTGCAGAATTTAGTCCATTTATATTTAAAGTTAATATTGTTATGTGTGAATTTGATCCTGTCATTATGATGTTAGCTGGTGATTTTGCTCATTAGTTGATGCAGTTTCTTCCTAGTCTCGATGGTCTTTACATTTTGGCATGATTTTGCAGCGGCTGGTACCGGTTGTTCCTTTCCATGTTTAGCGCTTCCTTCAGGAGCTCTTTTAGGGCAGGCCTGGTGGTGACAAAATCTCTCAGCATTTGCTTGTCTATAAAGTATTTTATTTCTCCTTCACTTATGAAGCTTAGTTTGGCTGGATATGAAATTCTGGGTTGAAAATTCTTTTCTTTAAGAATGTTGAATATTGGCCCCCACTCTCTTCTGGCTTGTAGGGTTTCTGCCGAGAGATCCGCTGTTAGTCTGATGGGCTTTCCTTTGAGGGTAACCCGACCTTTCTCTCTGGCTGCCCTTAACATTTTTTCCTTCATTTCAACTTTGGTGAATCTGACAATTATGTGTCTTGGAGTTGCTCTTCTCGAGGAGTATCTTTGTGGCGTTCTCTGTATTTCCTGAATCTGAACGTTGGCCTGCCTTGCTAGATTGGGGAAGTTCTCCTGGATAATATCCTGCAGAGTGTTTTCCAACTTGGTTCCATTCTCCACATCACTTTCAGGTACACCAATCAGACGTAGATTTGGTCTTTTCACATAGTCCCATATTTCTTGGAGGCTTTGCTCATTTCTTTTTATTCTTTTTTCTCTAAACTTCCCTTCTCGCTTCATTTCATTCATTTCATCTTCCATTGCTGATACCCTTTCTTCCAGTTGATCGCATCGGCTCCTGAGGCTTCTGCATTCTTCACGTAGTTCTCGAGCCTTGGTTTTCAGCTCCATCAGCTCCTTTAAGCACTTCTCTGTATTGGTTATTCTAGTTATACATTCTTCTAAATTTTTTTCAAAGTTTTCAACTTCTTTGCCTTTGGTTTGAATGTCCTCCCATAGCTCAGAGTAATTTGATCGTCTGAAGCCTTCTTCTCTCAGCTCGTCAAAATCATTCTCCATCCAGCTTTGTTCTGTTGCTGGTGAGGAACTGCGTTCCTTTGGAGGAGGAGAGGCGCTCTGCGTTTTAGAGTTTCCAGTTTTTCTGTTCTGTTTTTTCCCCATCTTTGTGGTTTTATCTACTTTTGGTCTTTGATGATGGTGATGTACAGATGGGTTTTCGGTGTAGATGTCCTTTCTGGTTGTTAGTTTTCCTTCTAACAGACAGGACCCTCAGCTGCAGGTCTGTTGGAATACCCTGCCGTGTGAGGTGTCAGTGTGCCCCTGCTGGGGGGTGCCTCCCAGTTAGGCTGCTCGGGGTTCAGGGGTCAGGGACCCACTTGAGGAGGCAGTCTGCCCGTTCTCAGATCTCCAGCTGCGTGCTGGGAGAACCACTGCTCTCTTCAAAGCTGTCAGACAGGGACACTTAAGTCTGCAGAGGTTACTGCTGTCTTTTTGTTTGTCTGTGCCCTGCCCCCAGAGGTGGAGCCTACAGAGGCAGGCAGGCCTCCTTGAGCTGTGGTGGGCTCCACCCAGTTCGAGCTTCCTGGCTGCTTTGTTTACCTAAGCAAGCCTGGGCAATGGCGGGCGCCCCTCCCCCAGCCTCGTTGCCGCCTTGCAGTTTGATCTCAGACTGCTGTGCTAGCAATCAGCGAGATTCCGTGGGCGTAGGACCCTCTGAGCCAGGTGTGGGATATAGTCTCGTGGTGCGCCGTTTCTTAAGCCGGTCTGAAAAGCGCAATATTCGGGTGGGAGTGACCCGATTTTCCAGGTGCGTCCGTCACCCCTTTCTTTGACTCGGAAAGGGAACTCCCTGACCCCTTGCGCTTCCCAGGTGAGGCAATGCCTCGCCCTGCTTCGGCTCGCGCACGGTGCGCGCACACACTGGCCTGCGCCCACTGTCTGGCACTCCCTAGTGACAGGAACCCGGTACCTCAGATGGAAATGCAGAAATCACCCGTCTTCTGCGTCGCTCACGCTGGGAGCTGTAGACCGGAGCTGTTCCTATTCGGCCATCTTGGCTCCTCCTCAACTTAATTACTTCTTTAAAGAGTTCAAATGCAGTCACATTCTGAGGTACTGGTGGTTAGAAATTCAACATATGAATTTACAGGAAGGGGATACAATTCAACCTGTAACAATAATGAACCCTCTCACTTTGGTTAATATCTTTGTTTCATATTTTAATATGTATCCTCAAGTTTTGTTCAAGTTGGAAACCACTGCATTTTGTCTTTTTAATATGACCTTTCATGTGTCTGTTCTGATCTGTTATGGATCAAACTTTATAGTATATTGATCTTATAGTGTAAGTCTCAGGAGGTGAACTTAATTCCAATATTTTTAGGGGAAGGGTACCTTTTCATTACTCCCATGTAACACTTAATGTTTATTAAATACCTACAAAGCCCAGAGGCTTTGGTATATTGTGTTTCTATTTTCATTTCTTTCAATAACATTTTAAATTTTTAGTTTCCAAATTTCTCTTATGACTAATTTCCAGTTTTATTCCATTGTGGTCAGAAAAGATACTTGATATGATTTCAGTTTTAAAAAATTTGTTGAGACTTGTTTTGTGGCATAACATATAATCTATCCTGGAGAATGTTTCATGTGCTGATGAGAAGGTTGTGTATTCTGGAGGTATTGGATAAAACATTCTATAAGTGTCTGTTAGGTCCATTTGGTCTGTATTACAGTTTAAATCCAGTTTTGGTTGATTTTCTATTTTGATAATCTGTTAAATGCTAATACAGTAGGCTGCTGGTGTTTCCACCTATTACTGTATTGGAGTCTGTCTCTCCCTTTAGATCTAATACTTGCTTTACATATCTGAGTTCTCTGGTGTTGGGTGCATGTAAATTCACAATCGTTGTATCCTCTTACTGAATTGATTCATTTATCATTATATAATGGTGCCATCTGTTTTTACAGTTTTGGATTTAAAAGTCTATTTTATCTAATATAAGCGTAGTTACTCCTGCTTACTTTTGGTTTCCATTTGCATGGAGTATCTTTTTCCATCCTTTCACTTTTCATCTATGTGTGTCTTTGTAGTTGAAGTGAGTTTCTTGTAGATAGCACATGGTTATGTCCTGTTTGTTTTTGTCCATTCAACAGTCTATCTCTCTTAATTGAGGAACTTAATTCATTCACTTTCAATGTTATTATTGATAGGTGAGGACTTACTTCTGTCATTTTATTGTTTTCTGGTTGTTTTGCATTTCTCTTCCTCGTTTCTTTATCTCTTACTGTTTATCTTTGTGTGGTTTGCTTGGTGACAAATTTTAGTTACTTTCTCTTTCGCATCTGTGTATCTGCTCTACTAGTGGGTTCTATACTTTTGTTTGTTCTCCTGATGGTAGTTATTGCCCTTTGGCTTTCAGATATAGGGCTCCCTTAATCATTTCTTGTAAGACCAGTCTAGTGGTGATAAATTTCCTTTTTGCTTCTCTGGGAAAGACTTTGTTTCTCCTTCATTTCTGAGGGATAGTTTTGTTGGGTGTAGTATTCTTGATTGACAGTTTTTTTTATTTTCTTTTAGCACTTTGACTATATTATCACATTGTTTCCTTGCCCACAAGATTTCTGCTGATAAATATGCTGTTAGTATAATGAAGATTCCCTTATATTTGAGTTGACACTCTTCTCTTGCTGTTTTTACACTTCTCTCTTGCTGTTTTTACACTTCTCTCTTTGTCCTTGAATTTTGACAGTTTGACTATAAAGTGCTTCAGAGAGAATCTTTTGAAGTTGAATCTGTTTACGGGCATTTGAGGTTCTTGAATTCATATGTGTACATATTTCCTAAGACTTGAAAAGTTTCCAGCTAATATTTTATTAGAGTTTCTCTGCCTTTTCCCTCTCTTCTTCTCAAACTCCCATAATTAAACATTAGTTCACATAATGGTATTTTATAAAGTCCATAGGCTTTCTTCATTCTTTTTTATTTTTCTTACTCTCGCTCTCTCTTTTTGTCTGATTGGGTTATTTCAAAAGACTTGTTTTCAAGTTCAGAAGTTCTTTCTTTTGCTTGATCTAGTCTGTTGTTGAAGCTGTTGATTATATTTTTTATTCAATTTATATAATTCTTCACCTCCAAGATTTCTGTTTTTTAATGGTATCTGTCTCTTTGTTGAATTTCTCACTAAGATCTTGAATTGTTTTTCTGATTTTGTTAAATTGTCTATCTGTATTTGCTTGTATCTTGCTGAGTTTTCTTATACTCATTGTTTTGAATTCCTTTTCAGGCATTTCATAGATTTTCTTCTTTAGGGTCTGTTACAGGAGAATTCCTTTGGAGGTGTTATGTTTCCCTGCTTTTTCACGTTTCTTGTGTTCCTTTATTAGCATCTGTGCATCTGCTGGAGCAGTTGCCTCTTCCAATTTTACAGACTAGCTTTTGTAGAGAAAGACTTTTTCGTGTGAGTCTGTCCTATAGTGTCGATTGGGTAAAGTGGTTTGGATTTGGTTACCGGTGGCTGCAGTAGTGTAGTATCAATGTGATTTCTTTGGCTGTAATCAATATCAATGGTGTTTGTAGAGACAGTGATGTGGCTTTGCTGGGGTTGGGGAATGATAGGTGGACTGGTTCTCAGGCCCTGGTAGGGTATGTGTTGGGCATGGTAGCTCTGCTGGTCATCAGTACAGTATTGCCAGTGGTGGCAAGCATTGGGTGATCAGTCCTTGGGTAATGGGGGCATGCATGGCAGTGCCCCTGGTCTTAGGGGAGGTTTATTTCCTATTCTACACTACCTGTTTCTTGGGGTGCAGGGCACTGTGTGGGCTTAGGTTCAGGGTTTGCAGCTGAACCACTGAATCTAGATGGAGTCTTGGATTCCTGGCTTTGTAGTCTTTTGTCTGGTGGAATGATGGCAGGGCTCCAGGTATGTGGATATGCCAGGACACTGGCTTCCAGAACAGAATTCACTTTATTGGTGGCTCTGCTCTCAGCATGATGCAGTTCCATAGTAGCTTGGGTCCTGGGGAGGGAAGAACCCAGCATGATTTCCTACTCTGGAGCAATGGAGCTGTGTGGACTCCAGGCAGCTTTTGTATACTGGGCTTAGGGACTGTGAGGACCGTGGGGACTGTGGGGGTCTTTTGTACCTAGGATTTCAGGCATCTGCAGTGGTAATGAGGACTGCTAGGGATCTCCTGACTACCTTTCCCCCTTTTCCCCACTATAGGGAATCCCTCTTGGCTCTGAGCTGATCTTGACTGGGTGCTTCATTTCCTTCTCTATACTGCCATCTTGAATCTCCATGATTCAGAGGGTTTCGTCACTTCCTTGCTGAATTCTAGTGTTCCGCGTTAGACGCTGTACTCAAAGTGTAGTTATTTGTTTGTTGTTTTGTCCTTCTTTGTGGAGGAGGTGAGCTTTGACACTTCTAGGCAGCCATCTTGTTGACAACATCTTCCATGTACCTTCCTTAGGCACAATTATACTGTCTCCATCCTGCCATACTCAGGTACTTATGGTGTTGCCCAATGTCTGGATTAAACTGGAAGCTGGAGGTTGAGGGTACTCTGGTGATGCAGTCCAAATGGCTCATTCACTTGGAGCACAATGTGGGGCTGAGGAAGGAAAAGATGGATTTTCTTGGGGCTTCTTTACACCTTCCTTTCCACACTGTACAAGGTACCTGGTTCTCCAGGCCTTGTAGGCAGATGGGTGAGCATGGTCTCCTACAACTTCCTTTTCCCTGGAATTCCACAGAGGGAACTGAGGATGAGGTGAGGTCTTTGGATGACCTACTCTTCAGCCTTTGATGCAAATTTCATCACTCTTGATTCACAATCTCGTTAGCTCTTTCTGCCCTACCAATTACTCCAGATTTGTTTATTAATTTTTTTTTGTGTCAATATGGCTGGATCACAGAGTGCTGAGATATTTGGCTAAACATTATTCCTCGGTGTGTCTGTTAGTGTTTTTCTGAATGATATTAACATTTAAACTATTCGACTGAGTAAAGCCCTCCCCTATGAGGTGGGCATCATGCAATTCATGGAAGAACCAAATAGAACAAAAAGGAGGAGGAAGGGTAAATTTTTTTCTCTTTCTACCTGATTGCTGAAGCTGGAGCTGGGAAATTATTATTTTCCTAGCCTTGGACTAAGACTTGTTCTTGCTCTTCAGACTTTTGGATTGGTACTGAAACTATAACACTGACTTTCCTTAGTCTCTAGCTTGTGGATGGCAGAGTGTGATAGCCTCCATAATTGTGTGAGCCAATTCCTCATCTCTCTCTATTTTATTGGCTCCGTTTTTCTGAAGACCCCTGACTATACAGCAGTGTCTAATGTGTCTAAGGTAATATTTTAAGCAGAGAGAATGGCCAATGTCAGCGTATCCGGACATTTTGAGGACCAGCAAGGAGGCTACTGTGGCTGCGGGTAAGTGGGAGAAAAGATGGAAAAGGCAGGGAAAGTCATGTTCCCTGTTGGCCCTTGAGAGGCCTTTGGCTTTTATTCTAACCATGATGGGGAACCATAGGAACCATAGGAGGGTTTTGATTAGAGAAGTAAAGTGATTTGACTTATAGTTTTAACAAGATTAGAATTTGTTGACTGATTGGGCATGAGGATTTAGAGGAAGAGATAAATGAAAGATAATTCTAAGAGTTTGCCTTGAAGTGTAGAGTTGCCATTAAGCAAGCTGAGAAAGACTGTAAGAGGAGTGGATTTTGGAGGAGGATTGTGAGTTCTTGAGATAACATTGTATTTAACGGTGTGCAAAGCATCTCAAATGTTTTAACTCACTTAATTCTGCCAAGAACATTACCAGCTTCATATTATTATTCTCAACTTCAAATGAGAAAATGGAGTCAGAGAGGTTATGAAATGTGCCCCAAATCACACAGGTTGCAAGAGGTGGGGCTAGAATTTAAAGCAATGTTACGGCACTCCAACACCTGGGTTTTTAACCAGTACCCCACACCACAGCTCAACATTAGATGGATAATAATGGCCATGATAACCATACTCACTCATTAAGAATGAAGCCCAATGAGTATCTTCCAATTTGACCTCTTCTTCTTCCTCCTTGGGTGGGTGGATGAAGGAAATGCCCAAGATAAGGGACCTGATCTCCACTGTGCTAGTTGGCTTGGGCTACCATAACAAAATGCCATGGACTGGGTAGCTTAAACATAAGAAAATATATATTTTCATGGTATGGAGGCTTGAAGTAGAAGATCAAAGTTTGATTTATTGATTTATACCAGTGGTTTTCCTGGTTCTCCAACTTGAAGCCAGCAGATTGTGGGACTTCTCAATCTCCATAATTGTGTGATCCAATTCCCATAAGGCAGGTGTGATTTCTCGGGAGGCTTCTGTCCTTGGCTTCCAGACAACTGCCTTCTTACTGTGTCTTCACCTGGTCATTCATTTGTACACACACACTTCTGGTGTCTCTGTGTGTATGTCCAAATCTCCTTTTCTTATAAGGATACCAGTAAGATTGGATTAGAACCCACTCTAATGACCCCATCTTAACTTAATCAACCCATTTAAGGCTTGTGATGGTTAATCTTATGTGTCAGCTTGACTGGGCGAAGGGATACCCATATAGCTACTAAAACGATTCTGGGTATGTCTGTGTTCATACTTCTGGAAGAGATTAGCATTTAAGTCAGTAGACTGAGTAAAGAAGATCCACCCTCACCAATGTGGATGGGCATCACCTAATGTGTTTAAGGCCCAGATAGAACAAAGAAGTGGAGGAAGGGCTAATTTGCTCTCTCTAAGCTGGGATGTCCATCTTCTCCTGCCCTCAGACATCCGTGTTCCTGGATCTCAGGACTTCGGGCTTGGACTGAATTACACTACGGATTTTCCTGGTTCTCCAGCTTGAAGACAGCAGATTGTGGGACTTCTTGACCTCCATAATTGTGTGAGCCAATTCCTGTAATAATCTCTCTCTCTCATAGCAGATTTTTTTACAAAAATAATCAGAAAATGATGCTCCTTTTCCATCTCTCTCCAGAAGCACTAACTGTTCATAAGTTGAAAGTGAATATAGTTTTTAATTAAAATTTATGAAAAATTTAGCAATTGTTCTCATTATATATAAAACAAAGCCACATAGTTATTATAGTTTAAACATAATTAAATTAAATTAAAGCTAAAGCTCCTTTGTCTTAAAAACTAACCCTTTCTTATCCTCAAAAAAATATTGTGAAATTTGAGAGCCCTCACTGAGGCAAACTGGGCAGTTGCCTAGTTTGGCTTTTTGTAAAGACATTTATTGGTATCCTGCAATTAGGCATTCAGGCCATTATGTTTACTGTAGAGTTGAGAAAGCTTATTCCCCAAACCTGTATATTAGCTCTGAGAAATTTAGGTCATGTTCCTCCTATGTCAATGTTTGAACTCAATCTGTGATCTTATGGAGGTAAGTAGGATGAGGAGGCAAAACAATGCCTTACTATTTTGTAAGGTTTGGAAATGGAACAGATGTCTCCTGATTAGAAAGGATATTTAGCAATCTTATACACCGGCCTTTACTCTCAGCTCTTCAAATTTTCTCATGAAGACATGGTCCTCATATCTTCTCTTGTTTGAGGAATAAGGAGAAGGCATTTATTACACATTTTCTGGGACTGGTCAGGATTAGCAAGACAATGAGAATGGAGTTCTGTGTTGTCTCTTGACCTTTGTGGAAGACTGGAGTTAATGAAGTGTGGGGTCTTGTGCAAATTACTTTGACCTTTTAAGCTTTTGGCTCTGTTTCCTAGTCTATAGGAATTATGGGGGATTTCTACAAAGGTAAGTGATGGTGGAAGAGGGGGTAGGGAGAATAGAGATTGGGATAAGGGGAAGAGGGAAGAGAAGAGAAGCAAATACATGATTTCTTCTTAGCCAGTTCATGGATTCAACAACTTCTGAGACTTTTTCTCATGGCTTTTTCTGATAGTCAAGAATATAGGCTTTTCTTTGCCCACACGGTGGCACTAGCTGCTTAGAAAACAGTGTAGCTAAAATCAGAAAGCCCGCAGCAGATCTCCTGAAAGCATGGAGAGTGAGCTGCAGCCGACGTTTAGAGCAATTAATAACACATTAGAAATTTTACTAACAGGGGTAATTCACATTGAGTTAATTAGAAAACAATTTTAAGACAGAGAAAGTGGGGGAGAAATGAGCGTGTGGAGACGCTGTCTCTCCGCCGCCAGTGCAGGGTGGCGAGTTTGCATGCTCACCCAGGGCTCCGATCTAGCGACGACCTGTTAAGGTTCTGCTCCATTGCCAGCTTGAGTTTCTTTACCGTCTAAGATGCATCTTGGATGGGTTAGGGAGGGATGTTCCCTTTTCAGTGTAGTGGAAAGAACGTTGTCCTGGGAGCTGGGAGATCGGATTTGTAATGCTATTTCTGCTACTAATTCCCTTCTGTGACATTGAACAGGAACACTTTGCCCTTCAGGAATAAATAAATAAAACACATGCGTTGGGGCAAGTAACCTCTAAGTTCCCTTCTAGTTCTGGCTTTCAAATTGGTGATGTTAGAAGACAAGAGTTTTGCTAGTTAGAGATGTATAGATACATGCTTATGTATGTAATCTCAATGTCCGTAAACAGCATCTGCTGAATTATGATAAGAGCTCAAAATGCAGCGTTCACACACTCAGACCATGGCTGCAGGAGTAGATTTTGATTGTTATCAGCAATTGGAACTCATTGCTGTCTGGGAAGAGATTGAATTTGAAAAGGTCTCTTAAAAGGGCCTTTGGGAGCCAAGGGGAATAAGTGTAGGCAACCTGCTCAGGGGGGTTGGGGCTTGGATGGAGAGGCAGGTGAAAGCAGGGATGCAGGGAGCACATTGCCTGGAGGAGCAGGGCCAGTGAAGGGCCTGTCGGCACTTCAAGGACTAACCACAGCTAATCACTAGTCTGGGAGGTCTGCGCTCAAGGCTGGAGCTTGGCATCAAGTTGTCCAGGCTCTAGTTCACCCTTTTCGTTCTTTGTCTCTTGCAACAATTGGCCAATACATGTCAGCAGTGTTTTATTTTTAATTTGCTTGGAACAACATGGATCCTAGGCAGCTCTGTCTTTGCTATTTCATGATGCAAGTTAAGGTTTGCTTGTCATGTGGAAAAGATTTGAAATAAAGACAGTGGATAAAATGTTAGTGTCCAGAGGGACAATGGGCCATTATTTAACTTGTTTTTTCCAGGTGATCCAAGGGAGGTCTTACTTCTCAATAGGAGACAAGTGACTTGATTTCAACACGGATGGGAGAAATTGGGAGGTGAAATTGGGAGAAACATGGAAATACTGGTGATGTATACAAATCCAGACTTTTATCAAACAGAGCAATTAGAAAACTGTATCTTCATAGGCACCCAATATTTTGTTATGTCTCATTTAAAATTCATTAAGTACTTTATTTGTAAATATTGTGATTTTTCCTAATTATAAAAGTATACATGACTGATGAAAAATTGAGCAATACAGAAATCTATGTTAAATATGATTTGAAGAGAGAGAGAGAGAGAGAGAAAGCTCCTCCCTTATCTGGTCTGAACCTCACACCTTCACCATTCTTTGATGAGTCCATTTGACCAGCTTACTTTTCCAAGAAAAATTGAAAAGGATTCCATTTATAAATTATTGACCTCAGAGAAATTTTCTAACTCTGCTTTGGAGGTTATGGGCAACCAACCAACTCTGTTCACCGTAGACTCTCGGTGCTAAACCAAGGAAAGTCCAAAACAAACCAGTGCATTTTGTCACTTTAGTTTTACATAACTTCCAAGTGAACCTACAGAACTGAAGCCTGATCCTTGAACTTGCTGCTTTGTTCTAATACTGTGGGATATTATTATTTTGCTCTTTCCTTCAAGGGGAAGCATGAACATCTGGCCTTTTCTTTTTCTTCCTGTAAGTCCATTGGAGATGCAAGATTTTAAGGAGCAGGAGGATGGGGGGGGAAGGACACCCTCTTGCATGTAAGTCATGTTATGACTCCTCTCTACTTGACCTCATTGTGTAAGGAGGGCTCAGGGCCACCTGTTGAACATGAACACTGTCTTCAGGAAATTCTTAGCTCTCACCTGCCTTTCTCGCCATGTTGCCTCAAATATGACCCTCAGGTAAAGGCTGCATCTCCTTGGGGAAAAACACACTGAAGCTCCTAGAAGCCACAGACCAGTTTCTCCTCTCTCCCAGTGTTACTGCAGTGGCTTCTGCCTTGTCTTTAGTGAGCAGCTGTGGCCCCAGGGCTGTTGTGTGGTTAAGTAGGTCCAAATGCGAAAGAGTGGGAGATGTAAGAGGAGCGTCGAATGAGGGCAGCACAGAACAGTGAAATCCTTGCACCTGCCTCCTTGACAGTTTTTGCTGAGAATCAGACAAGCAAGGAATCTCTCACTTATTAGCTGAACACAGAAAGACTTTGGGGATAAAGCTGGTCTGAGAATTATAAAGGGGTTTTGAAACAGAGACAGAGGTGTGTATACACCTATTCATTCTTGAATTATCCTTAGACTATTACTACAAAGTGGCTTTCATTATTCTCCTTTCATGGTATAATGGAGTGATTAGGAACATGAGCTTTGGAATTCCACCCCACCTTCACTAAGTAGTGGCTGTGTGACCATGGGCAAGTCACTCCATTGCTCTGAACTTCTGTTGCTTCTTTTTAGACATAATATTATCAAATGCGTATGACTGTTGTGAAAATTAAATGACACATAAAACACTTACAAGCCTAGCCCATTGCTCTCAATAATGGGGACTAATATTATTAATCTTAGGTTGCAGGTGATGAGATTGAAGTTCCTAAAGTTTAAGTAATGAATCAAAGGCCTGAGTCAAGATTTAAATCCAGGTCTGTTGATGTCCATACTCGAGTAATGTTTAAACTTACAGTAGTTACAAGGAGCATCAACCTTCCTCAGCAAGATTTGACCAGGTTGAAAGGTTCTGAGATTGTTTGGATAACATTTCAAGATAATAATAAAAAAATTCCATAGTGTTGTTAATATCTGATGAACATCTACAAAGAGGCAGACATCGTTTCAAGTATTTTCCTATAATAACTGTCATTGTATAACATTATTGACTCTTTGAGGTATATACTACTAGCCTTTCCTTTTTACAGATGTGGAACTGAGGCACAGAGATATAGAACCCTGGCAAAAGCTGGGGCTTATACTGACTGACAAGACCATTTCCAACCCAAACATTCTCAGGGAGGGAACTGGCAGCCAGTGCCCCAGCAAACTCTCGCACATGGTTCTACACTCAGGCCCCCCTGAGCTAAGCTTCCTAAAGAGCCAGGTGGCAGCTGGAGCTGGGGTCTCCTGGCCCATGATTGGCTGCCATCATTTGTGGTTAGCCCTCCATGGTGGGGGAGGCTGGGAAGGACAGTGGAAGCTGATAAACAGCTCAGCAGCATGTTCTGAGAAACAAGAGGGCAAGGAGAGAGCAGAGAACACACTTTGCCTTCTCTTTGGTATTGAGTAATATCAACCAAATTGCAGACATCTCAACACTTTGGCCAGGCAGCCTGCTGAGCAAGGTAACACTCATACTTTTCATGCCTTGAGCCAAAATATTTATTACATTTTTATGTTTCTAACTAGAAGTGCTTGAGCTTTTTTTCCTTCCAGGTGATGAGGGGATGGAATGAGCAAAGCTACATCAATTTTTTTTTAATGTATGAAAATAAAAAAGGTACAAGAGGCCAAGTTTAGGGCCACTGAAGGTTCATAGAAAGATGCAAAATATCTGAATTACTATAAATGAATGCTATTGTCAGAGGAAAGGTTTAAGGAGTGCTTCTTGAATGAATGTGTACAAATCAGCAGAAGGTAAGGTGTGAGACTCTTGGAAATGAATACTGGTAGTTCAGGTGAGAAAAATAATCAGGAACATAATAGGGTGGGAGGAAATGTATGGTTTCCCAGGTATTAACAAGTATTGCCAGGCATTTCCTGAACTAGATTGGCCTAAGTAGGAGACCAATGTTTCTCAAAATATTCACTCATTTTAGAATCACTGAATGTTTAAAAATGCAATTTCTGGATTCCTTCCCAAACAGCCAGACTCTTTGGGACCTGATGATCTGCATTTCTTTTTAAAAACAAACTCGCTCATGATTCTGATTTGTATTAATTTTGAGAATTGCCATGGTAGAGACCCTGCTTTGAGGTTATGTTCTTGAGTCAGGATTCCTGGCCAGGGATTGTGATGATATATTTCTCTTTCTGAAGTGGTTCATGCAAGAGGTTGTCTGAAGGAAGAGCAAGAATTGTAGTGTTATTTTGTGGATACTTGAGACTTATAAAAAGGCTTTTTATTTTGTCACATTTTTGATACATGATGTTTGGCAAAAAACAGACGATAGTATTTGCAGAGTGAATGAATAAGTGGAACAGGTGTGATAATGAGAGGTCACACTTGAGCACACAGTTATTACTTGGAAATTGTGTACAGACTAAGTTGAAGATGTTAGGAGGGAAGATTGTGGGCCAAGTAACGGGGTGTATGTGTGTGGGTATAGGGTGGGCAGCTGGGATGGAAATGGGGGGCTGCTGCTGCTGCTGCACCCTGGCCTCCTGAACTAATGATATCACTCACCAGAAACTACTGTTCCTGCACTGTCCAAGCCACCCCAAACTAGTTTGTCAAAATGAATCTGTGCTGTGTGGAGGGAGGCACGCCTGTAGCTCTGATGTCAGATGGCAATGTCGAGATGGCAGTGGCCGGTGGGGACAGGGCTGAGCCAGCACCAACCACTCAGCCTTTGAGATCCCGAGGCTGGTCTACTGCTGAGACCTTTTGTTAGAAGAGAGGAGATCAAGCATTTGCAAGGTTTCTGAGTGTCAAAATATGAATCCAAGATAACTCTTTCACAATCCTAACTTCATGCTGTCTACAGGTCCATATTTTAGCCTGCTTTCTCCATGTTCATCCGAAAAGAAAGAAAAGCTAAGGGTGGTGGTCATATTTGAAATTAGCCAGATCTTAAGTTTTTCTGGGGGAAATTTAGAAGAAAATATGGAAAAGTGACTATGAGCACATATACAGCTAGTCTTTAAAACAGTTTTATCCAAAATAAATGTATCACAAAATTAATAAAAATAGTTACTTGCTTGTTTTGAATAATTCAAATGATACAAAAATTAATAAAATAAAAAGTGCAAAAGGCCCTCTTATCAATGCCAATTCTATTTTTTTCAGAAATTAAACACTGTTAAGATTTTAGTGTGTATCCTTTCAGAATTCCTGTGATTTCATATATGTACAAATACAAACGTATCTACATAAAGGGAATCCTACTATACTTGCTATTGTCATTCTATTCTCTGCTTTTTCATGTGAGCATCTTTCCATGTCACTGATGCATACAGAAATTGCACATATGCATCAGTGCATACAGAAAATTAAATTTTCTGCATGGTTTTCCACTGTATGTCTGGACCATAGTTTATTTAATAATAATGCCCTTTGGGTAATTATTTATATTGTTTCCTGCTTTTTCAAAGTAACAGCTTTTGAAACAAATCTCTCTCTGTCTTTATATAAATATTGTTGCATTCCTGTGGAAATGTTTCTATTGGATAACTTCCCAAAAGGAGATTTATTGCATCAAAGATAATATATTCAAAAATTTTAAAGATATTGCTAAATTGTCTAGTAGGTATTTTATACCAATTTATACTCCTCCCAAGAATGTATGGAGATATCTTAATTTCTCCATGCCTTCATTAATGCTGAACCATATAAGTAGTTTTAATCTTTGCTAATTGAATAGATAAAAAATATCTAATCTAAGTCTAGTTCTTAAAAGTTCTATCTTCTACCAAAAGTAATACACGTCTATTTTAGGGAGTAAAAATCACAAGTAAGGATAAAAAATAGTGCAGCAATAAACACAGGAGTGTAGATGTCTCTGAACATACTGATTTAACTTCCTTTGGATAAATACCCAGTAGTAGGACTGCTGGATCATATAATAATTCTATCTTTAGTTTTTTTGAGGACCTCCATACTATTCTTCATAGTGGCTGTACTAATTTACATTCCTACCAACTGTGTATGAAGGTTCCCTTTTCTCTACATCCTTGCCAGCATTCATTATTGCTTGTCATTTGGATACAATCTATTTTAACTGGGGTGAGATGACATCTCATTGTAGTTTTGATATGCATTTCTCTGATGATCAGTGGTGTTGAGCACCTTTTCATATACCTGTTTGCCATTTGTATGTCTTCCTTTGAGAAATGTCTATTCAGATATTTTACCTATTTTAAAATCGGATTATTAGATTGTTTCCTGTAGAGTTGTTTGAGCTCCTTGTATATTCTGGTTATTAATCTCTTGTCAGATGCATAGCTTACAAATATTTTCTCCCATCATGTGGATTGTGTCTTCACTTTGTGGATTGTTTACTTTGCTGTGCAGAAGCTTTTAACTTGATGCAATCCCATTTGTCCACTTTTGCTTTGGTTGCCTTCCACAGGAGTATTTAAATAAATGTAGTTTGGTAGATTTTGGTATAGTAATGCAGGCCAGTGGGAGTCAGGGGAGAAATGTGTAGGGAAGTGAGATAGTTCTAAGGATCCTACAAACATGCCTTATGATTGACTTACTCAATGTGAAAGTCAATATTAAACTTGATGAGCTCTAGAGATGGTCATGCATTTTAAAAAGAATTACTCAAAATATTGTCTTGGAATACCAGAGAGCAAGTGCTTTAAGTATAGGCTGGGAAGTAAAATGCTAAAGGAATGAGAAGGCATTTGGGGTTGAGTTCAACCTAAGAGGCAGGGGAGCCACAGGGAAAGACCTAGCACCTGCCACAGAAGAGAATTAGGAAGCAGAATTGAACTATAAGCAATTTTGAGGTGTTCGTTGGGCTGCAGTTGAAATATTTTTTGAGGTTAATGAGACATTTGAAATGGCCGTGTATTGTTTAACTCTTGCATAGTCCTGCATAGGGAACAATCTAATAGGATTTCTCTGTGAATCAAGTCTTAGAAATTTGCTTTTAATTTTTATGAAAAACGCCCATTTCTTTGTTTTTGAGACAGAGTCCTGCTCTGTCATCCAGGCTGGGTTGCAGTGGCGTGATCTTGGCCCACTGCAATCTCTGCCTCCTGGGTTCAGGCAATTTTCCTGTCTCAGCCTCCCGAGTAGCTGGGATTTCAAGTGCCTGCCACCATGCCCGGCTAAATTTTTTTGTATTTTTGGTACAGATGGAGTATCACCATGTTGGCCAGGCTGGTCTCGAACTCCTGACCTCAAGTGATTCACCAGCCTTGACCTCCCAAAGTGTTGGGATCACAGGCATGAGCCACTGTGCCTGTGCCCCAAAACACCAATTTCTGATGTGTGATGCATGTAAGATAGAACAAACTTCAGTAAAGCGGGGACTTGAAAAGAGGCTTTGGTAACAGCTGTCAGCATTAACCCTTGCCCCTCCGTACCTCCTAATCCCACCCCTGCTCAAAGTATGTTCATCTGAGAATTTGTCTCCATAACTATGTGACTATAAAAATTCTCATCGATTTTGTTAGTTGATCAATTGAGGGAAAAACATATGTTACTTGATATAACTGGTGGGTCAAAAGAATTAACCCAGGCAAATTTGAGATAGGTGGATGGGATGATGGATTGAAAATACAGCTGCTCTCTTTCCAATCATGTACTAAGTAATTTGGGAAAGATTGATCTAATTGGGTCTAGAGAGTACACTTCACATGGCATTGTTTGACTTTTTTTCTGCATCGCTAGCGATCTGTGCATTACAACTCAAATCAGTCGGGTTTCCTGGCATATGTAATTGCCAATGTTTTTTACCAGAAGAGAAACATTACTCCCACCTCTTCTTATTATGTTACAAACTATAGTGCTAATGACCATCGACCAACAGTGACTTTCAGGATGACCTGTGTGAGTTTTATCTGAAACCATGTGAATTTTTCATCTTAAAAGTCCCTTAGAATCTCAGTCTATGTACACTCAGGTTTGTTGCAGGTTTAGAGTTCCGTGTTTTTTGTTTCTAATGTAGACACAGCCTTATAATTTACAACAGCATTCACTAATTAAAATTGTAAGCATAATTACTATCCACGATACTTATTATTAGTTTGCATTCATAAAGCTCAAAATTCACTTCATCCTTTCAAGTAGTGAATAATTAGTTTCTTTGGGTTTGCAGCTTTATCATCCTTTTATGACCCATTTGGAAGAAATAAACAACCAACCCCCTGGAAGACTGCTTTAAAAAGCTGGAAATACATTGTCCAGCTAGTACAATGAGGCTAATACAATGTGGAAAATATTACTTTTCTTTGATTTTAGTAGCCTGTTTATCTTTACATTTACTGAACAAATAACTATTGAGCACCTAATGTATACTGGGACCCTTGGGGAGGCAAAGATGAATCAAAGATTCTGTCCTTAAAGACCTTAAGGTTTTTGTGGAAGGAAATAAAACTTTACATGTATATATTTAAGCACTTATATGTGTGTAACAGGTATAAGTAACCATAAACACTGTCAGAAGAGGAAATAACTCTATGATCAGCACCTAACATGATATATTAAGGTAGAAGATTTAATACATATCTTTTGGAATACATGAATAAATAATTGAATGTATTTATTTTTATTATTTATAAGATACATCAGTGGGATATTGATATTGGTCTTAATATGACTTGTTTTCATTGTTCTCAGGTACCTCAGCCAGCATGGCAGCCTCTTTCCCACCCACCTTGGGACTCAGTTCTGCCCCAGATGAAATTCAGCACCCACATATTAAATTTTCAGAATGGAAATTTAAGCTGTTCCGGGTGAGATCCTTTGAAAAGACACCTGAAGAAGCTCAAAAGGAAAAGAAGGATTCCTTTGAGGGGAAACCCTCTCTGGAGCAATCTCCAGCAGTCCTGGACAAGGCTGATGGTCAGAAGCCAGTCCCAACTCAGCCATTGTTAAAAGCCCACCCTAAGTTTTCAAAGAAATTTCACGACAACGAGAAAGCAAGAGGCAAAGCGATCCATCAAGCCAACCTTCGACATCTCTGCCGCATCTGTGGGAATTCTTTTAGAGCTGATGAGCACAACAGGAGATATCCAGTCCATGGTCCTGTGGATGGTAAAACCCTAGGCCTTTTACGAAAGAAGGAAAAGAGAGCTACTTCCTGGCCGGACCTCATTGCCAAGGTTTTCCGGATCGATGTGAAGGCAGATGTTGACTCGATCCACCCCACTGAGTTCTGCCATAACTGCTGGAGCATCATGCACAGGAAGTTTAGCAGTGCCCCATGTGAGGTTTACTTCCCGAGGAACGTGACCATGGAGTGGCACCCCCACACACCATCCTGTGACATCTGCAACACTGCCCGTCGGGGACTCAAGAGGAAGAGTCTTCAGCCAAACTTGCAGCTCAGCAAAAAACTCAAAACTGTGCTTGACCAAGCAAGACAAGCCCGTCAGCACAAGAGAAGAGCTCAGGCAAGGATCAGCAGCAAGGATGTCATGAAGAAGATCGCCAACTGCAGTAAGATACATCTTAGTACCAAGCTCCTTGCAGTGGACTTCCCAGAGCACTTTGTGAAATCCATCTCCTGCCAGATCTGTGAACACATTCTGGCTGACCCTGTGGAGACCAACTGTAAGCATGTCTTTTGCCGGGTCTGCATTCTCAGATGCCTCAAAGTCATGGGCAGCTATTGTCCCTCTTGCCGATATCCATGCTTCCCTACTGACCTGGAGAGTCCAGTGAAGTCCTTTCTGAGCGTCTTGAATTCCCTGATGGTGAAATGTCCAGCAAAAGAGTGCAATGAGGAGGTCAGTTTGGAAAAATATAATCACCACATCTCAAGTCACAAGGAATCAAAAGAGATTTTTGTGCACATTAATAAAGGGGGCCGGCCCCGCCAACATCTTCTGTCGCTGACTCGGAGAGCTCAGAAGCACCGGCTGAGGGAGCTCAAGCTGCAAGTCAAAGCCTTTGCTGACAAAGAAGAAGGTGGAGATGTGAAGTCCGTGTGCATGACCTTGTTCCTGCTGGCTCTGAGGGCGAGGAATGAGCACAGGCAAGCTGATGAGCTGGAGGCCATCATGCAGGGAAAGGGCTCTGGCCTGCAGCCAGCTGTTTGCTTGGCCATCCGTGTCAACACCTTCCTCAGCTGCAGTCAGTACCACAAGATGTACAGGACTGTGAAAGCCATCACAGGGAGACAGATTTTTCAGCCTTTGCATGCCCTTCGGAATGCTGAGAAGGTACTTCTGCCAGGCTACCACCACTTTGAGTGGCAGCCACCTCTGAAGAATGTGTCTTCCAGCACTGATGTTGGCATTATTGATGGGCTGTCTGGACTATCATCCTCTGTGGATGATTACCCAGTGGACACCATTGCAAAGAGGTTCCGCTATGATTCAGCTTTGGTGTCTGCTTTGATGGACATGGAAGAAGACATCTTGGAAGGCATGAGATCCCAAGACCTTGATGATTACCTGAATGGCCCCTTCACTGTGGTGGTGAAGGAGTCTTGTGATGGAATGGGAGACGTGAGTGAGAAGCATGGGAGTGGGCC